>NW_004504305.1:0-74013 GCF_000001405.40 Homo sapiens
TGGCTACATGCGCCTGGTGGTACGCGAGTTGGAGAGCCAGTTGCAGGACGCACGCCAGAGCCTGGCTTTGCAACGCCGCTCATCCTGGAAGTCTGTTGCCAGCCGCTGTAAGCCCCAGGCTCCTAACCACCGAGCTGCGGGCCTGGAGAATGGCCACTGCCTCTCCAAGGACAGCAGCCCTGTGGGCTTGGTTGAAGAAGCGGGCAGCAGGTCTGCAGGGTGGGGGTTGGCTGAGTGGGAGCTGCAGGGCCCTGCCAGCCTCCTCCTAGGCAAGGGGCAGAGCCCTGTGTCCCCTGAGACCTCCTGCTTCTCTACCCTGCATGACTGGTATGGCCAGGAGATCGTGGAGCTGCGGCAGTGTTGGCAGAAGAGGGCCCAGGGGAGCCACTCAAAATGTGAGGAACAGGATAGGCCCTAAGTCTGGGCCCTTTGAGTCAGGAAACCAGGGCCAGTTCTTTTTCAGGAGTTAAATGTTTACCCATTTCCAAGGTTGCGTTTTGGGAGGGGACATGGGTTCTCTCCTTCCTGCTATTTAGGCATTCTCCAGGTTCGAGATCCACCCGTGTGTCTGGAAGGGACTGCGGGACCATTCCTTCCATCCTCTTTATTTCCTGAGGTCCAGAGAAGGAAGGAGACTTAGCAGCCACAGAGCAAGACCCCAATCTCCTGACTGCACTGGCCTGACTGCCCCCTCCCAGGGGATGTTAATGAAATGAAGGAAGTGGGGAATGTCACCCGAGACTGTCACAGGCTTGCCATACCTTTGGCCTACACACCGGGCTCTAGAGCCATAATTTCCAACCTGGGGAGTCTCCTGTGCACTTAAATCCGAGGTAGGCTGCAGTATCGGCTTGAAGCTCTGACACTGTCAGAGAAAGTGGATTTATTGTGTCATAGGAGTTTCTGGGACCCAGCTCTTCCTGAGAGGGGTGGGAAGATTGGGGATGGGATCCTCACTCAGCAGTCTGGGTAGGGCCCTTTGAGGCAGAGGGTCTTCGGCCAGTGAAGAGAGATTTATTCTGCTCAGAGTGCTGGGGTCCCATCCTTTCTCCCTGGCTGCCCTGTTAACAGATGGTGCTGGACCTTGCCCCGGAAGGGGCTTGTAGCTTTTTTACGTCAACGAAATGCCCTCCTGTACTCTGTCTTCAGCAGCCAACTCCTGGAGCTGCCAAGTGAGGGGTTAAAGAAGAGGTGGGGAGGCAGTGTGGCTCCCTGGGAAAAGTCTGTTGCTTTGGTTCTCAGTCCTGGGTATTCTAGGAGCTTGGACACGGGATTGCGTTTCCTGTGCTAAAATTCTCTCTCCTGGCTGGGCTCCGGTAAACTGAAGCTGCTCGAGAAATCACCTGGGAACTCTCATAGCCGTTTGTCACCCAGGGTGTACTTGCCAGGACCTCTCCTTGCTACTCTTCCCAAAGTCGGGAGGCAAAGCGGCTGGGTCACCAGAGCCTGACCATACTGACGCTCCAGGGGGAAGACGCAGAGGCCGGGAAGAGACACCCCCTCCCAAACACATAAAACTTGCCCCTTCCTAGCCTCGGCTCCCCTCACTGGGGCCTTGGGCAGGACCGACCCGCATCCAACTAGGCCTAAGGGGTAGGCTCTGAGCCTCTTACCCCTAAGAGGCGGAGATGCGCCCAAGGCGGGCGCCCGGCCTGTTCCCCAGCCCTGCCTGGAAGCCCCGCAGCCACTGCATTTTGTTTAAACACAGATAGCACGGGCCTTTCTCTTATTGCTACAGTGTTTTGTACACGGTTAAAACACTAGTAAAGCTTTTTCGTTATTACTCCTTCCGCTCCCTGGGTTTATTTCCACAACCGGCCGCTGAGGCCTGTTCTGACGGCCGGGCGGACCCAAGACCGCGGCCACGCCCAGCAGGACGCGGACTGAGGGAGCCGGGGCTGCGCCGCCACTCTCGTGACGCCACCATGCCGGCCAGTGACAAACACCTCCCTCCCGCCGCCCCAGGAGCCGCCGGCACTGCGCGAGTGGGAGGGCTGGGCTTCTCGTGTACTCCTCAAACTCTCGCGAGGCTTCGGGCGGCTTTCTTCCCGAGGGCGGCACGAGGGCTGGGCGGTGGGGTGCGGGTGCCCGGGTGAGGGGCGGAGCTGGGGGCATGGCGTCCGGAGCGGCTCGCTGGCTAGTATTGGCACCCGTCAGGTCCGGGGCTCTCCGGAGCGGGCCTAGCTTGAGGAAAGATGGCGATGTCTCCGCCGCATGGAGCGGCTCAGGCCGGAGCCTGGTACCGTCGAGGTCAGTCATCGTTACCCGCAGCGGCGCCATTTTGCCCAAACCGGTGAAAGTGAGTGTCCTCCTGGAGACGGGGCGAAGGGGCTGAGGCCAATCATTGTGGGGAGTGCGTGAGGGCGGCGCTGATTGATAGGAGCCAAGGCCAATCATAACGATTACCGTAGACTGGAAGGCGGACCAAGAATACGCTAATGAGTTGCTAATTTTGACAGGTGTGTAGAAAATGGTAGGTAGACAGAAGATGGGGGGCAAACGCTGAGGAAGTTGGCCTTTTACATTAGCTTGTCCTGAGAGGTGCGGTGCTCTGCTCCTCTGGAGTCAGAAGACTAGGCCGTGTGCTTCTAGCTTAGAGCAGTCCTGTAATCTCTGCCCTGCCTGTCTCCTAGTTTATGGGATGAAATATGAATTTTGAAAGGACTCTGTAAATAAAGGGTACGTGGGACGGGCCTCATCTTTTTATTAGTTGTCACCTAATATTTAATTCATGTGATTTACAGTCCTGATAGATGTGCAGGGAATTATTACAATCACGGGTTTTCAAATGAAGAATCGGGCTAGAGCGGTGAAGCTCGTATCCAAGGCCAGCGCTGAGGACGCAGCATCCGGGTTTCTTCCTGGTACCGTCCCCACCAGGTCCTGTCTTTTTCCAACACTGAACGCTATCACATGCTTGAGTTTTTCTAGGGAAAACGGAAACAGTCCCTTATATCAAGCGAAAGTTTGCTTTACGACTGCAGGGCTGTGTGGTGTGGGAGTTAAAAAAACAAATTCTCTTAAAGCTAGTCTAGCCTATGCTAACTCACACAATTGACTGTAGGTCCATGTTGGGAAAGACCTGCCTTATCAAAACAGTTGAAAAAAAAATTTTTTTAATTCTAGGAATACGAGAGAAATGTTGCTGAGATTTTACTGACATTCTCCCAATCCATCTAAAGTCTTTGAGTGTAAATACATGCCCACTTTCAAATACATCTGTTTCTAAAATTTTTAAATCAAATTTCTCAGGCATCAGGGAACCTGTTACTTAGTGAACTGTGTAGAATATCCCTTCACTGTACATCTTTCTGTCATCGGTTTTCGTGTATTTCGTGTTCAGGCAGAGCTCACCGTAGTCTGGCCCTCCTAGTACTGGTGCACCCGATTGCCTGTAGGGATTTAAAGTAATTAGCAGGCTGTGTCCTAACTTTAGATGTCTAGGGTGCCTTAGACTTTTCTTTCCAGTGGACTTTTCGTCCATTTTGATGGCCATAACAGTCACCTTATCTCCTTTTTTTTTTTTTTGAGACGGAGTCTCACTCTGTCACCCAGGCTGGAGTACAGTGGCACAATCTTGGCTCACTGCAGCCTCCGCCTCCCGGGTTCAAGTGATTCTTCTGCCTCAGCCTTCTGAGTAGCTGGGACTACAGGCATGTACCACCACACCCGGCTAATTTTTTGTATTTTTAGTAGAGACGGGGTTTCACTATGTTAGCCAGGCTGATTTCGAACTTCTGACCTCGTGATCCGCCCGCCTCAGCCTCCCAAAGTGCTGGGATTACAGGTGTGAGCCACTGCGCCCGGCCTTTTGTCTTTTTTTTAGACAGAGCCTCACTCTGTCTCCCAGGCTGGAGTGGAATGGTGCAATCTTGGCTCACTGCAACTTCTGCCTCCTGGATTCAAGCAATTATCCTGCCTCAGCCTCCCGAGTAGCTGGGATTACAGGTGCGCACCACCATGCTGGGTCAATTTTTTGTATTTTTAGTAGAGACGGGATTTCACCATGTTGGCCAGGCTGGTCTCAAGCTCCTGACCTCAGGTGGTCCACCCACCTCAGCCTCCCAAAGTGCTGGGATTAAAGGTGTGAGCCACCCTGCCTGGCCTTCTCCTTTTCTAATTACTTTTCTTGCCCTGAATTTTTCCAAGGACTTTAAAATCAAGTTGCTTATGATGGGTCTGAGGGTATGTCTGTGAGAGGGCCAGGTCTTCTTTGGTCCTGCCAGAGTGGGCTCTGGAGCTCACAGCTGCCACTCTGACCCTCTGCAGATGTCCTTCGGCCTTCTCCGTGTGTTCTCCATTGTGATCCCCTTTCTCTATGTCGGGACACTCATTAGCAAGAACTTTGCTGCTCTACTTGAGGAACATGACATTTTTGTTCCAGAGGATGATGATGATGATGACTAACAGGTAAGACTTGCTTTACCCTAGATGGAGCAGGAAGCAGGGTGGAGCATCTGTCTGTGATGCAGTCTGGCCTGGTAGCAGCATTTGGACACTGGGGGCAGAAGCATTAATGAATTGGCCCACTTGGTGGCTAATGTTTTCGTTTGTTTGTTTTTTGAGACGGAGTTTCGCTCTTGTTGCCCAGGCTGGAGTGCAATGGCATGATCTCGACTCACTGCAACCTCTGCCTTCCAGGTTCAAGCGATTCTCCTGCCTCAGCCTACCGGGTAGCTGGGATTACAGACATGCGCCACTGTGCCTGGCTAATTTTGTATTTTTAGTAGAGACGGGGTTTCTCCATGTTAGCCAGGCTAGTCTCAAACTCCCGACCTCAGGTGATCCACCCACCTTGGCCTCCCAAAGTGCTGTGATTACAGGCGTGAGCCACTGCGCCCAGCCAACTTCATGTGCTCTAATATGTGCTGCATGGCATTCTGTCAAGAGATGAGGACACTCCTGTTCCTTAGCCTGGCATTCAAGGCTTGCCATAATCTGGTCACACCTCTTATTCCAGTCTCATCTTCCATATTTCCAGCCACACACCGATTCCCAGTATTCACCATTTCTTGAGTTTTCACACTCATACCCACCCCCAAACATTGGCTCATTGTTCCTCCCACATGGAAGGCTCCTTCCCAGAGCTCTGGGTCTTAATTCCACCCATTCTACAGTGTCTTTGAAGTCTTCGTTCCTCCTTTCATTTGAAAGTTGACGGCTCCTTCCTCTAAGCAACCAGTACCTCTCTTCAAATACTCGGTATTATGTGGCTAAACACACACAAAGCAAAATTTTACTAGACTCTGAGCTTCTTGCTGGCAGGGGACGTTTTTTATACATTGCGGCCCCCAGTGCCTGGCCTGTGGTGAATGCCCAGTTAACGTGCGCATGAACAACCAAACGTGCTCAAAGCTGCCTTTCTCCTGCCATGTTTGATAGAAGCACTTTGTGGAATTCTTTCAGTCTGCGGATGGAAGACTACGCTGTTGCCCAGTTCACTGCTGCTTTCCTTTCTTACAGGAATTACAGAAAGGAGAAAGCACTAACTGAAGAAATGGTGATGCTCTCAGTTTCTCTGCCTTCCCTATCAGCAGAAAGGCTCGGGGAAGGCCCTCAGCCTCCCAGTCTGGTGAAGCTTCCTGTATGGTCCATGACCGTATTCCACCCCAGGCTCTGGGAGGCTCCCTGAGATGTGCTGTCCACTAAGCACTGCACAAACAAGCAATCAAATTATGAATAAACATAATAAATATCAGCCGTGCGTGACTGAGTGATGGCTGCAGTTTCTCAGTATCCCTAGGTTCTAGTTGGTGCAGTTGTCTCTGCTGTCCTTTATTTATGGGAGAAACATAGGCCCAGGCTATCCAGGCTGCAGTGGAGCCTGGTGAACTATTCTGGGGGCCCTGGGAACTATTTTCATTGTTTACAAAAGCCCAACAGAAACTGTGCATTTTCCCTTAAGAAAGCTTCATGGGCTAACTAAAGCCTCATGCCATTCTGTGTTCAGTGCCAGTCATGACAGCTCTGCTTGTTAGCATACTACTTAAATATAACTAGAATGATTCAAAACTCGGGTTCTGTGATATGAGGATATAGATAGGTTTTCATCTATTTCCTGGCTTATAACTCCCAAAACCCTTGTTTTAGGCTTTTGTTATAATGTTGGGCACTTCGGGCCTCAGAAAACAGCAGGCTGTTTCTCAGATCTTCTCCTGACCTCCTTTCACCTGCTGCTTTTTCTCCCCAAGGCAGGCCATAGAAACTAAAAGTATAATCTTCCTTTGCCCGTCTTCCAGTTGGCCATAAAAAGAATCCTCTGACCTACCTTGTCTGATTTTAGGTCATGAGACCCCCATTTCAGAAGGGATTCTGCCCCATACCTGAGAGGAAGAAATGTAGACAGGCCTTGTTGGACTTCCCCACTCCATCTGTATTAGATTATGCCTCTTTTGTCCAATCCCATTTCTCCAGTGTTGTCCATGCTTCAATCATCCCTATCCAATGAGGTCTCCATAAAAGGCCCAAGAAGACAGGTTTAGAGAGCTTTCGGAGAACAGAACACTTGGCTTTGCAAAGTGGCACGCCTGGAGAGAACTTGGAAGCTCCACGCCCCTTCTATACCTCACCCTATGCATCTCTTCAGCTGTATCTTTTGTGATATCCTTTATAATAAACCAGTAAACGGACCTAAGTGTTCCTCTGAGTTCTGCAAGCTGCTCCAGCAAATTAAAAAGAAGGGGTCAGCCAGGTGCGGTGGCTCACACCTGTAACCCCAGCACTTTGGGAGGCCAAGGCGGGCAGATCACAAGGTCAGGAGAGCGAGACCATCCTGGCTAACACAGTGAAACTCTGTCTCTATTAAAAAATAGAAGAAATTAGCCGGGTGTGGTGGCGGGCACCTGTAGTCCCAGCTACTCGGGAGGCTGAGGCAGGAGAAGAATGGCGTGAACCCGCGAGGCAGAGCTTGCAGTGAGCCGAGATGGCACCACTGCACTCCAGCCTGGGCGACAGAGTGAGACTCCATCTCAAAAAAAAAAAAAAAAAAAGAAGGGGTCATGGGAACTTGAAGCTCAGAAGTTCTGGAGGCTTGGACTTGTGAATGTTGTCTAATGGGGGTGGGAGCAGTCTTGTGGGACTGAGCCCCAAACCTGTGGAATCTGTTGCTATCTCCAGGTAGATAGTGTTCGAAGAGAATTGGAGGACAGGCAGCTGGTGTCTGCTGCAGAACTGACTGCTTGCTTAGTGTGGGGAGAAACCCTCATAACGTTTGATCACAGAAGTCTTATGTGTTTATTGTTATTGAGTGAGAGAACACAAAAACACCTTGAGTTTTTCCCTCAGGTTCCTTACGTGAAAAGATTATAAAGGGATCCTTGGTGCCATAAGGTTTGGGGCCATGCACAATGGCTGATGCCTGTAGTCCCAACACTTTGGGAGGCGGAGGCAGGAGGATCACTTGAGCCCAGGAGTTCAAGACTGGCCTGGGCGCGGTGGCTCACGCCAGCACTTTGGGAGGCCACGGCGGGTGGATTACTTGAGGTCAAGAGTTTGAGACCAGCCTGGCCAACATGGTGAAACTCCGTCTTTTCTAAAAATATAAAACTAGCTGGATGTGGTGGTCCATGCCTGTAATCCCAGCTACTTGGGAGGCTGAGGCAGGGAGAATTACTTGAACCAGGAGGTGGAAGGTGCAGTGAGCCAAGATCACACCAGTGCACTCCAGCCTGGGCAACAACAGCGAGACTCCATCTCAAAAAAAAGAAAAGAAAAAAAGACCAGCCTGGGCAATGGAGAGACGCCATCTCTATTTAAAAAAAAAAAAAAAGTATGGGAGTCCTCAGTGATCATACCTATAGATTCCAAACCCCTTCTCCATCATTTGGATTGCCCTGGGAAGCACAAGAGAAGACCACCATCCAAACAGAGATCAGTTCTTGAACCTGTGTTGATGTTTATTCTGCCACTGAGAGGTACACCAGGGTTTCCAAAGACAGTAGGAATATTTCTGTTCTCTGTGTATATTGAACAGCTGTGCACCTAAGCAGGGTGCCTGAGTAGGAAGTTAATTTCATTTTAAGGGCTGGAGCTTGTTACAAGTAGCGGAGCCAAGCCTTTGCACATCCATTTTCTTCAGAACCCAAGGAAAACTAGCCCATCTTGACAGCTCTACTTTTGCGCCTGTTAGTGCTGCCCTGATCCCTGACAGGAAGAGCTGGCTAATTTTAGATAATCTGTGCCCTGACACTGAAGTGTCTAATCATAGGGGCTATAGAAACAACTACATTAACAAGTCGTCCAGCCTCATGCCCAATGTCACAATTTTTGAACAGATGGCCTCCTTCCTTCCTGTTTACTGACATGCAAGGCTCTGAGAAAAATAATTCAATCCAATTTACAGCAAACACCACATTTCAAGAAAAGGGAAAGAACAGGTGATGTGTATACCAAGGTCCCACTTGCTCAGGCAAAAAGAGGCTGCAGAAAATTGGTTCATCAATGGAATTCTATCACAAAGTGACCATTGTATAGTGAGTTTATTTGTGCTCTAAAATAGTATCAACGTGCATCTTTCCACTGAATGACTTCATGGATCGTGGCCAACATAGAACTTGGATAGGAAATCCTTTGGCCTTGGCGCTTCTGTTTCATGGAAGAACCGCATAACATGTGTCCGCTGCTTCCATACTTTAATTGTTTCTTCCAGTTCGATCTTTCCCTGAACAGTGAGGAGAGAGGTCATCAGTCAAAGTTGTCAAGTTGAAGGCATATGACACTGAAGGCCAGGATTCTATTCTCTGCTCAGCATGGACTTGTTGAATGACCTTGGGCAAGTAACTACTCTGTCTGGGCAAAGTTTCTATGTCTGGACAATGAGGTGGTCAGGGTAAATCATTTCTGACACTTTTCAGATTCTTTAACTCTGTGGTTAACTGGTACCAAGAGGAGAAACATACAGGTTAACAGGCTCCTATCCCATGACTACCTAACCTGACTGGCTTAACTTATGTTTCTGCTTATCATTTCTTCTGTTACTGACTGGTCTATGCTGAAGCTCCCATTGATGCTAACGTGACTGGCCAGGGGGACAGAATCAGCCCCAGGATTTGAGTCCATTTATACAGGACTCATAACCACCCTAACTGCCTCTTCCAGCTGTAAACTGGCATTCAGATGAAGTGGTAACTTCTAGGGATGAGGTTCAAGAAGAGTTCAAACTTTCCTCCCTATATCTTTTTTTATGGTTATAAAATGCAAGTCCCAGTGGATGTTCCCTTGATGAATCTTATCTATTTAACCAGATGATAACCTCCAAGTTCAAGTATTTCTCTGAAACACAGCAATAATCACTGCCGAACCAGTAGCTGCTTTCTAAACTTGGAGACAAAATGTTCATTTGGAAAGACTAAGAAGTAGTGGACAAGTTGGCTGATCTTTTAAATTGGTCAGGGAGGGTCAGTTACCTTAATGACCAGAAGATCAACCACCCTGGGGTCTGTGACATGGGCATTCTTCATAAACATTTCTCGGACTTTATCCCGTCCCATTTTCACAGTGATGTCCAGCTGGAATTGGTGCACTAGAGAGAAAAACATGACTCAGGGTAGAAATTGTATGGTTAAATAAAACCTAGAGTCAAATGATACTCATTGAACACATACAGGTCGCCCATTCATTTCTTCACCAAAAAATTAGCCTGACCCTAGGCTAGGTGCTTGAGGATGAGACATGTGATTCATGGTATTTGCTCTCAAGGAACTTATTATTTGTTTGGGGAAAAAGACCACTGAATTTGAAGAGGCAGTAAAGCATTGTTCAAGAGTTTGAACAACCTGGGTTCAAATCCCAGCTTTTGTTAGCTATATGATCCCGTGTAAGTTAACTTTCTTGTGCCTGAGTGTATTTTTTAAAAAATTATTTTATGGGCTGGGCGCGGTGGCTCACGCCTGTAATCCCAGCACTTTGGGAGGCCGAGGTGGGCGGATCATGAGGTCAGGAGATCGAGACTACCCTGGCTAACACAGTGAAACCCCGTCTCTACTAAAAATACAAAAAATTAGCCGGGTGTGGTGGTGGGTGCCTGTAATTCCAGCTACTCGGGAGGCTGAGGCAGGAGAATGGTGTGAACCCGGGAGGTGGACCTTGCAGTGAGCCGAGGTCGCACCACTGCACTCCAGCCTGGGTGACAGAGCGAGACTCCGTCTCAAAAAAAATAATAATTATTTTATTAGCTGGGCGCGGTGGCTCACGCCTGTAATCCCAGCACTTTGGGAGGCCAAGGCAGGTGGATCACCTGAGGTCAGGAGTTCAAGACCAGCCTGGCCAACATGGTGAAACCCCGTCTCCACTAAAAATACAAACATGAGCCGGGCATGGTGGTGGGTGCCTGTAATCCCAGCTACTCGGGAGACTGAGGCAGGAGAATCACTTGAACCCGGGAGGTGGAGGGTGCAGTGAGCTGAGATGGGCCACTGCATTCCAGCCTGGGTGACAGAGTGAGACTGTGTCTCAAAAAAAAAAAAAAAAAAAGGCTGGGCGCGGTGGCTCACGCCTGTAATCCCAGCACTTTGGGAGGCCGAGGCGGGTGGATCATGAGGTCAGGAGATCGAGACCATCCTGGCTAACAAGGTGAAACCCCGTCTCTACTAAAAATACAAAAAATTAGCCGGGCGCGGTGGCGGGCGCCTGTAGTCCCAGCTACTCAGGAGGCTGAGGCAGGAGAATGGCGTGAACCCGGGAAGCGGAGCTTGCAGTGAGCCGAGATTGCGCCACTGCAGTCCGCAGTCCGGCCTGGGCGACAGAGCGAGACTCCGTCTCAAAAAAAATAATTATTATTTTATTAGCTGGGCGCGGTGGCTCACGCCTGTAATCCCAGCACTTTGGGAGGCCAAGGCAGGTGGATCACCTGAGGTCAGGAGTTCAAGACAGCCTGGCCAACATGGTGAAACCCCGTTTCTACTAAAAATACAAAAGTTAGCCAGGTGTGGTGGCACGCAACTATAATCCCAGCTACTCGGGAGGCTGAGGCATGGGGAAATCACTTGAACCCGGGAGGTGGAGGTTGCAGTGAGCCAAGATCGCGCCATTGCCCTCCAGCCTGGGAGACAAGAGCGAGACTCTGTCTCAAAAAAAAAAAAAAAAAAAAAAGTGAGTTATCATTACTGTTTTTTTCATTAAATACTTAAAATTTTACTTTTGTTTTTTATTAATGCTCAGGCTGTTCTAAGTTCTCAACACTATTACTTATTCCCCTTCCTTGATTTGATTCCTCAGCTGGAGTCCTGATGATGGATACCATAAAACCCGTGTGGCACAGGTTTGAGTAACTGGCCAGCTACAGATCACTGATCTTCCCCATAGGGATGCATACTCCTTGACCCCTTCTTTTCTCTCCTCTTCCCTTGCTTTCTAGGCTCCTGTAGCCCTCTGCCTTCTTTTCCTCCTCTCAAGACCCTTCTGACTTTGGGACTTTCTTCCCAAAACAGAATTTGAGGGAAGGTCTTGGGAGGGGTCGGTTTAGAAAGAGCTGGATCCTCAGAGTCAGGATACCTGGGTTCTGTCTTCTACTTGGCCACTGATTTACCCTTCACAAGCCACCCTTTTTGAATGTGGTCCTCCTTCCCCCAGCACCTTCCTCCTGCAACCAGAGAGGGTTCTGGGTACTCCTAGAAGTATTCTGCCAGGCAAACATTATGTTTTCAAACTGCTGAATTTGAATGCACCACCCCGAAACACACACACACACACACACACACACACTGCTACAGTCACTCCCCACACACATCTTTTATCTGCCTGCCCCTGAAGGCATCTGAATTTGCAGTCCCTGAACCAGCAGATCACTCAAGTTTCTCCTTCTCTAGTATCGCGTGGGTTTAAGTTCTGGTCAGTAGCAATTTTTCCAAAAGTCAGCTTGAAGACAGGGACTCTGTGGAGCAGACACAGTTCTCATATGTCAAAGAACCGGGTTCTGCTTGGAAGCTGCTGCTAAGGAAAGCCCTATAAATAACAAAAATAACAACAAAAACAACGGCAGCAGCTAATATTTAATGAGTTAAATATGCATCAAGTCCTGTTCTAAGCACTCTAGATATTTTAACTTAATACAGTAACCTTCTGAAGAAGGAATTATTATTCCCATTTTAAAGATGAAGAAACTGAGGAATAGATGAAATAACTGGCCCAAGGTCACACAGCTAGTTGAGGGCAGCGCCTGAAGAAAAGTCCGTGCTCCTAACCACCACATTCTACCGCCTTTTCACACACACAAGCAGGGACTCGACAGCCCTGAGGAGTGGCACCGTGCTCCAGCTCACTCAAAAACACCTCTTTCTCGCACTTTGGGAGGCCGAGACGGGCGGATCACGAGGTCAGGAGATCGAGACCATTCTGGCTAACACGGTGAAATCCCGTCTCTACTAAAAATACAAAAAAAAATGGCCGGCGTGGTGGCGGGCGCCTGTAATCCCAGCTATTCGGGAGGCTGAGGCTGAGGCAGGAGAATGACGTGAATCCGGGAGGCGGAGCTTGCAGTGAGCCGAGATCGCACCACTGCACTCCAGCCTGAGCGACACAGCGAGACTCTGTCACAAACAAAAAAATCCAACGGGCATCTATAATTACACTCTGCAACTCTAGACTTTGGGTTCTGGGTACAACAGTGGCTCGGCCTGGGCCCTGGGCACATCACTTCACCTCTCGGTGCCTCCGCTGCCTCACCCACAAAGTGAGTGTGTCACTGACAGTCATCGTCCTCCCGCCAATTGCGAAGGACAAAAGAGACCAAAGCTCCGATAGCACGTACGAATGCTAGGCACGGCCGGTCTGACCACCGCGCCGCCGCCAGGTCCGGCCCATGGTAGGCTCGGGTGACCCTCTTCCCCTGAAGCACCCGCAGTCGCCTCTGCCCAAGTTGGTGACCTCAGCTGGGCCCATGAGAAACCCCGGCCGGGCCGGCTACGACCTTGAGCGGCGGCCTCCGGGTCCCCACGTAAGCCGCTACCTCTCACCAGTGTTCGGCACCTCCCGATACCAGGCGCGGTAGAGCTCGCGCACCCTCCGCTTGGCCTCGTTCATGTCCCGACTGAAAATGGGCTTCACGAAGGTGCTGGCGGTAGAAGTAGCTTGGCGGACGCCGCTCCCCGCCATCTTGCCAAAGCATCCACTCCACAACCCCACCCCTTTGCAAGCAGCGCGTGCGGACCGCGGGCGAATGTCTTTTCCCATTGGCTAAGGAGGAACGCCCCGCCTGTATGCTGGGTGGGCGGGAGGATGACTCTGAGGCTCTCGGATTGGCTGGGAAGCCTCTCTCTGGCTGAGCGAACGGTGGGTGCTGCGCATGCTCATCTACAGAAACGCCGCTTGGCCTTTGGACTACACCATCTGTCGCTCGCTCTAACGAGCCGGCGTTGCCGCCAGGGGACGCTCGGGCCGCAGGAGGTCGCTGGGTCGTGAGCTGGCGCCGGGGACGCCGAGCGACTGCGGGGTTTCCCTCAGCGTCCTGCTATCCGGCTGCCCGCCGCGCTCCTTGGTAGTGTCCGTGGGCGCGCAGGCCTTGAAGAACCTCCTCGTGGCGGGACCCCGAGGTAACTGCTGAGGCAGATAATGGCGCCTGGGCTGCGGTGGGGCTTGTCCTGCCGCCTGGCGGCTTTCTGCAGGGCCAGGATATACTTACTTTTCTGTAAACCAACTCTTCCTTAGCGCAGGAGAGGTGTCAAAGAGCTGGCGCGTCTCCAGAGCCCCGGGAGGAAGGCTGTAACGGCAGCCCCATCGTAGACAGGGACATTCGCATCCCGAGCCCTGGATCTCTGAAAACCAGCCCAGAATTTGGAAGCTGGAAGGAACTTTAGATCGTCCATTCTGAGTGTCTCTCTTCGCTGGCGTTTTCCCACTGAGGTTATGTAAACATGAAGAGGAGCCTACAAGTGTCAAGGAAAAAACGACAGCTAACCACAGGGCAGGCCATGGGCAAGATATCTCAGTGTTCTCCGCTCTCATAGGTCAGGTAGGTACCTCAGCATCCCCATTTTACAGGTGAGGAAACTGAGATGGCCCAGAGTCTAGGTCACCTGACAGATCGCCCCCACCTGCCTGACTGCTGCCTAAGAGGCTCCGTCTTTTTCTGAAGGTGTAGTTGACAGGAGCCTGTGAGTATTGGGGAAGGGCCAGGGGCCGGGGCTGAGCATCTACTCCAAACTTTCCCATTTCGAAGGGTTAAAAAACCAGATATACTTTTTTTCTTCCTTATTATCTTCTAAAATGTATATATATATTCAAGTGAGCTATACAAAAGAAAGCACGTAACATATATAAATTATAAAGCATAATAATAAAATGGAAGCTTTTGAACCTCAGTACTGACTTAAGAAGTTGTAACACAGTTAAGGTTTGTATAAAGTGTCCTTAGATGTCCTTAGTAGCCACTGTTCTCTAGTTCTCTAGGTACATTAACTTGGCTAGGCTTCACAACACACCAGTGAGATTGTGTTGATATACCCTTTTTTTTTTTTTTTTTTGAGACAGAGTGAGACTCACCTAGGCTGGACTGCAATGGTGCAATCTCGGCTCACTGCAACCTCCGCCTCTCATGTTCAAGCCATTCTCCTGCCTCAGCTTTCCGAATCGCTGGGATTACAGGTGCGCACCACCATGCATGGCTAATGCTTGTATTTTAGTAGAGACGGGGTTTTGCTATGTTGGCCAGGCTGGTCTCAAACTCCTGACTTCAGGTGATCCACCCACCTCAGCCTCCCAAAGTGCTGGGATTACAGGTGTGAGCCACTGCCCCCGGCTGATATACTCATTTTATAGATGAGAAAACTGAGGCACAAAGAGACTAAGTTACTTTACAGCATTGGGGTTGAAGCCCAGGCAGCTGGTGCCAGAGTCAGTTTTCTGACTCTCGCAGCACCTATACCATGATATCTACCTGTATGATTCTAACCTTGTGTATACCCCTGCCTCCTTCAGAAGTACCCACTATCATGATAAATTCATTGTGTTCAACATTCAAAAAAAAAATGGGGCGCAGTGGCTCACTCCTGTAATCCCAACACTTTGGGAGGCCAAGGCAGGTGTATCACCTGATGTCAGGAGTTCGAGACCAGCCTGGCCAACATGGTGAAACCCCCGTCTCTACTAAAAATACAAAAATTAGCCGGCATGGTGGTGGGCACCTGTAATCTCAGCTACTCGGGAGGCTGAGGCAGGAGGATCGCTTGAGCCCGCGAGGTGGAGGTTGCGGTGAGCCAAGATTGCGCCGCTGGACTCCAGTCTGGGCGACAGAGTGAGACCCTGTCTCAAAAGGAAAAGAAAAAAAAGACCTCTAAACAACCCACAAACTGGGAGAAAATTTTTGCAAATCACATGTTCCATAAGGGACTTGTATCTAGGATACATAAAATTCTTACAACTCAGTAATGAAAAGACAAATAGCCAAGTTTAGAAATGGGCAAGGGAGACAACACCAAATGCTGGTGAGGATGTGAAGCAACAGGAACTCTCCTTACTGGTAGGAACGCAAAATGGTACAGCAGCTTTGGAAGACAGTTTGGCTTTCTGACAAAACTAAACATACTCCCATCAGAAGATCCAGCCATTGCATTCCTTAGTGTTTACCCAAATGAGCTGAAAACTTATGTCCACACAGAAACCTGCACATGGATGTTTACAGCAGCTTTTGTTTTTGTTTTTGTTTTTGAGATGGAGTCTCGCTCTGTCACCCAGGGTGGAGTGCAGTGGCGCGATCTCGGCTCACTGGAAGCTCTGCCTCCTGGGTTCACGCCATTCTCCTGCCTCAGCCTCCAAGTAGCTGGGACTACAGGCGCCTGCCACGAAGCCCAGCTAATTTTTTGTATTTTAAGTAGAGACGGGGTTTCACCATGTTAGCCAGGATGGTCTCGATCTCCTGACCTCGTGATCTGCCCGCCTTGGCCTCCCAAAGTTCTGGGACTACAGGCGTGAGCCACCGCTCCCGGCCAGCAGCAGCTTTATTTGTAATTGCCAAAACTTGAAAGCAACCAAGATGTCCTTTAGCAGGTAAATGGATAAATAAACCTTGGTATATCCAGACAATGGACTATATTCAGCACTAGAAAGAAATGAGCTATTAAGCCATGAAAAGGCATGGAGAAACCTTAAATGCATATTAGTAAGTGAAAGAAGACAATCTGAAAGAGCTACATACTGTATGATTCCAACTATATTACATCCTGGAAAAGGCAAAACTATGGAGACAATAAAAAAGATGGCAGGGGCTGGGAGTGGGGAGAAATGCACAGAGGTGGTGCACAGAGAATATTTAGGGTAGTGAAATTACTCTGGATGTTATAATGGTGGATACATGTTATTACACATTTGTCAAACCCTACAGGATGTACAACACCAAGAATGAAACCTAATGTAAACTATGGGATATGGGTGATACTGGTGTGTCAATGTAGCTTCATTGCTTATAACAAATATATCCTCTGGTGCCTGATGTTGTTGGTGGGGGGAGGCTATGAGTGTGTGTGGGGTGGGGGAACCCTGTATTTTCTGTTCAGTTTTGCTGTGAACTCGAAACTGCTCTTAAAGATGAAATTTTTATTTTAATGGGTAAAGTATTTGAATAACCATTTCTCCAAAGAGGATATACGGGTGACCAATAAGTACATGAAAAGACATTCAACATCATGAGCCATTAGGGAAATAAAAATCAAAACCCTCGTGAGATACCATTTCTCACCCAGTAGAATGGCTAGAGTGAAAAAGGCAGACACAGCCAGTCACGGTGGCTCACACCTGTAATCCCAGCATTTTGAGAGGCCAAGGCCAGTAGATCACTTGGGTTCAGGAGTTTGAGACCAGCCTGGCCAACGTGGTAAAACCTCCTCTCTACTAAAAATAGGAAAATTAGCTGGGCATGGTAGTGCATGCCTGTAATCCCAGCTACTAGGGAGGCTGAGGCAGGAGAATTGCTTGACCCGGGAGGTGGAGGTTGCAGTGAGCCCAGATCATGCCATTTCACTCCAGCTTGGGTGACAGAGCAAGACTCCATCTCAAAAAAAAAAAAAAAAAGACAAAAGATAGTGTTGGCAAGGATATAGAGAAATTAGAACTTTCTATACTTTGCTGGTGGGAATGTAAAATGGTGTAGCCATTTGGGAAAACAGTCTGGCAGTTTCTTAAACAGTTAAATATGGCCAGGAGTGGTGGTACTCACTTGTAAGAGGCCGAGGCAGAAGCATTGCTTGAGCTTAGGAGTTTGAGACCAGACTAGGCAAAATAATGAGACCGTATTTAAAAAAAAAAAAAAAAGTTAAACGTGGACTTACTATATGATCCAGCAATTCCAATCCTAGGTATTTACCCTGAAGAAATTTTTTTCCACACAAAGACTTGTATGCAAATGTTCATAGCAGCATTATTCACCATAGCCAAAAACTAAAAACACCCAAATGGCTATCTGTTGATAAGTGGATAAACAGAAGGTGGTCTGTCACCCAGGCATGGTGGCTCATTCCTATAATGTCAGGATTGCTTGAGGCCAGGAGTTTGAGAACAGCTTGGGCAACATAGTGAGACTGCATCTGTTGAGGGAAGTCAGGAACCCCGAACGGAGGGACCGGCTGAAGCCGTGGCAGAAGAACATAAATTGTGAAGATTTCACGGACATTTGTTAGTTCCCCAAATTAATACTTTTATAATTTCTTACACCTGTCTTTACTGCAGTCTCTGAACATAAATTGTGAAGATTTCATGGACACTTATCACTTCCCCAATCAATAGCCTTGTGATTTCCTATTCCTGTCTTTAATCTCTTAATCCCGTCATCTTCGTAAGCTGAGGAGGATGTATGTCGCCTCAGGACCCTGTGATGATTGCATTAACTGCACAAATTGTTTGTAGAGCATGTGTGTTTGAATAATATGAAATCTGGGCACCTTGAAAAAAGAACAGGATAACAGCAACGTTCAGGGAACAAGAGAGATAACCTTAAACTCTTGACTGCCAGTGAGCCGGGCGGAACAGAGCCATATTTCTCTTCTTTCAAAAGCAAATGGGAGAAATATCGCTGAATTCTTTTTCTCAGCAAGGAACGCCCCTGAGAAAGAGAATGCGTCCCTGAGGGTAGGCCTCTGAAATGGCCACTTGGGGGGTGGCTGTATTTTACAGTCACAGCTGTAGGGATGAAATAAGCCCCAGTCTCCTGTAGCGCTCCCAGGCTTATTAGGATGAGGAAATTCCCACCTAATAAATTTTGGTCAGACCGGTTGTCTGCTCTCAAACCCTGTCTCCTGATAAGATGTTATCAGTGACAATGCATGCCCAAAACTTCATTAGCAATTTTAATTTCGCCCCGGTCCTGTGGTCCTGTGAACTCGCCCTGCCTTCATTTACCTTGTGATATCTTATTACCTTGTGAAGCATGTGATCTCTGTGACCCACACCCTATTCGTACACTCTCTTCCCTTTTGAAATCGATAATAAAAACTTGCTGGTTTTATGGCTCAGGGGGCATCACGGAACCTGCTGACATGTGACGTCTCCCCCGGACACCCAGCTTTAAAATTTATCTCTTTTGTACTCTGTCCCTTTATTTCTCAGACCGGCCGACACTTAGGGAAAATAGAAAAGAACCTACGTGAAATATCAGGGGTGAATTTTGCCCGATAGCATCTCTACAAAAATTTGTTTAAAATAGCCAAGCATGGTGGTACGTGTCTATAGTCCCAGCTACTCGAGGGGCTGAGGTAGGAGGATTGCTTGAAGCCAGGAGTTCGAGGCTACCATAAACTATGATCCTACCACTGTACTCCAGCCTGGGTGACAAAAAAACAAACCTAAACAAAACACAAAATATGGTGATACGGTTTGGATATTTGTCCCTTCCAAATCTCGTCAAAATGTCATCCCCAGTGTTGGAGTTGAAGCCTGGTGGAAGGTGAATGGATCATGGAGGCAGATCCCTCATGAACGGCTTAGCACCATCCCCTTGGTGATGAGTGAGTTCATCTGTAATCTGGTTGTTAAAGGTGTGTGGCATCTCCCGCTTTGCTCTCTTGTTCCTGCTGTCACCATGTGACATCCCTGCTCTCCCTTTTCCTTCTGCTGGGATTTGAAGCTTCCTGAGGCCCTCACCAGGAGCAGATGCTGGAGCCATGCTTGCACAGCCTGCAGAACTGAATCAATTAAACCTCTTTTTCCTCTCTCTCTTTTTTTATTTTTATTTTTTTTGATATGGAGTCTCACTCTGTCACCCAGGCTGGAGTGCGATGGCACGATCTCAGCTCACTGTAACCTCCGCCTCCCGGGTTCAAGCGATTCTCCTGCCTCAGCCTTCCAAGTAGCTGGGATTATAGGCGTACGCCACCATGCCCAGGAGGCAGAGGTTGCAGTGAGCCGAGATCACACCACTGCACTCCAGCCTGGGTGACAGAGCAAGACTCCGTCTCAGGGAAAAAAAAAAAAAACTACCAAATTGTTTTCCAGAATAACTGAATCATTTTACATTCTCATTGGCAATTCATGAGTGATCTAGTTTCTCCACATCCTCTTCTACATTTGGTGTAGCAACTGTTTACATTTAGCCATTTGGAATAAGTGTACAGGGATAGCCCATTGTAGTTTTAGTTTGCATTTCCTTAATGGCTAGTGATATTGAACATCCTTTCCCAAGTTTATTTCCAATGTGTATATTCTCTTTACTGAAGTGCTTTTTCATGTCTTTTGCACATTTTTATTTAGATTATTTATTTTTGAGTTTTGGGAGTTCTTTATATATTCTAGATACTAGTCCTTTATCAGATACGTAGTTTGCAAATATTTTCTCCCACTCTATGCCTTTTCATCCTCTGAACAGGGTCTTTCACAGAGTAAAAGTGCTTAATTTTGATGAAATCTATTTTATTATTTTTCCTGTTATGGATTGTGCTTTTAGTGTCAAGACTAAAAATGCCTTGTGTAGCTCTAGGTCCAGAAGATTTTCTCCTAAATGTTTGATGATGTACATTTAAGTCCATGGTTTGGTTTGGTTTTTGTTTTTTGGTTTTTGTTTTTCTTTGAGACAGTCTTATTCCCTCACCCAGGCTGGAGTGCAGTGGCATGATCTTGGCTTACTGCAACCTCTGCCTCCCAGGTTCAAGCGATTCTGGTGTCTCATCCTCCAAAGTAGCTGGAATTATAGATGCGCACCATCACGCCCAGCTAATTTTTGTATTTTTAGTAGAGACAGGGTTTCACCACGTTGGCCAGGCTGGTCTTGAACTCCTGACTTCAAGTGATCTACCTGCCATGCTGGAATTATAGGCATGAGCCACTGCACCTTGTTGTAATTTTTGTATATAATGTAAGATTTATTTCAAGGTTCATTTTCTTGCCTATGAATATCTGATTACTCCAGAACCATTTGTTGAAAAGCCATTTTTCCTCCATTGAATTGCATCAGCACCTTTGTAAAAAACCAACTGGGCACATATTAGTTGGTGACAAATTCTTTTAGTTTTCCTTCCTTTGAGAATTTTACAATTTCCCCCAGCATTCTTGAAGGATATTTTCATTGGATATGGGATTCTGAGTTGATAGTTTTTTTAACAATGGAAAAGTGTTGTGTCACTTCTTTCTGGTTTCTGTTGTCTCTGATGAGAAATAAGCTGTCATTCAAATTATTTTTTCTATATAAGTAACATATTGTTTTTCTCTGGCTGCTTTCAAAAAATTTTTTTGTTTTGTTTTCAGAAGTTTGACTATAATGTATCTTGGTGTGAACTTCTTTGGGTTTATCCCAATTGGAATTCTCTCAGCTTCTTGAATCTATTGTTTTATGCATTTTGCCAAGTAGGAAAGTTTTCTTTGAATATTTGTTCATTTGATTATTTATTTATTAATGTATTTTTTTGAGACAGGGTCTTGCTCTGTTATCCAGGCTGGAGTACAGTGGCAGAATCATGGCTCACTGCAACCTAGACCTTCCAGGCCGAAGCGTTC
The DNA here is from genome assembly GCF_000001405.40 of Homo sapiens. Lineage (NCBI taxonomy): Eukaryota > Metazoa > Chordata > Mammalia > Primates > Hominidae > Homo > Homo sapiens. The sequence goes on from NW_004504305.1 coordinate 20,908, forward strand.
CTCCCACTTCAGTCCCCAGAGTAGCTGGGACCACAGGTGTGCACCACCACACTCAATTTTTTTGTTTTTGAGGCGGAGTCTCGCTCTTTCACCAGGCTGGAGTGCAGTGGCATGATCTTGGCTCACTGCAATGTCTGCCTCCCAGATTCCAGTGATTCTCGTGCCTCAACCTCCTGAGTAGCTGGGATTACAGGTGCCTGCCACCATGCCTGGCTAATTTTTGAATTTTTGGTAGAGACGGGGTTTTACCAAGTTGGCCAGGATGGTCTCAATCTCTTGACCTCATGATCCGCCTGCCTTGGCCTCCCAAAGTGCTGGGATTACAGGCGAGAGCCACCACGCCCGGCCCCCTCCTATGTTGTCCAGGCTGGCCCCAAACTCCTGGGCTCAAGCAATCCTTCTGCCTCTGTCTACCAAAATGCTGGGATTACAGGGATGAGCTATCATGCCCCACTCTGATCTTTTATTAACAGTCTCACAGGCCCTGAGGTTGTGTTTATTATTTGTTTCTTTTCTTTTCTTCTTTTTTTTTTTTTTTTTTTTTTTTTTTTTGGTTGAGATGGAGTCTCGCTCTGTCGCCCAGGCTGGAGTACAGTGGCGCGATCTTGGCTCTGCCTCCCGGGTTCACACCATTCTCCCGCCTCAGCCTCCCGAGTAGCTGGGACTACAGGTGCCCACCACCATGCTCGGCTAATTTCGTTTTTGTATTTTTAGCAGAGACGGGGTTTCACCGTGTTAGCCAGGGATGGTCTCGATCTCCTGACCTCATGATCCACCCACCTCAGCCTCCCAAAGTGCTGGGGTTACAGGCATGAGCCACTGTACCGGCCTCTTTTATTTTCTCTTTTCTTTCTTGTTTACTTTTTCCAGTCCATTTTCTCTCTGTTGTTCAGATTGAGTAATTTCTGTTGTCCTGTCTTCCAGTTAACTGCTTGTGTTGTCCTCTTTTCCACTTTTGAGCCCATTCACTGAGCTTTTTATTTCGTTGTTGTATTTTCTATTTCTAAAATTTCTATCTGATTCTTCCTTATATCTCCTATTTCTATGCTGAGACTCTTTTTTATTTTTTCAACATGTTCATAACTGTATTTTTTTTTTTTGAGATGGAGTCTCACTCTGTCGCCCAGGCTGAAGTGCAGTGGCACGATCTCGGTGCACTGCAACCTCTGCCTCCCAGGTTCAAAAGATTCTCCTGCCTCAGGCTCCCGGGTAGCTGGAATTACAGGCATGCACCACCACACCCAGCTAATTTTTGTACTTTTTGTAGAGACAGGGTTTAACCACGTTGCCCAGGCTTGTCTCGAACTCCTGGACTCAAGCAACCAACCTGACTTGGCCTCTCAAAGTGCTGGGATTACAGGCATGAGCCACTTTGCCCGGCCTGAGTTGCATTCCTCTATGAATTTTAGAAAAAGCAATCAATTTCAACAAGAAAATTGCTGGAATTTTTATTGATTACACTGAATCTATAGATTAATTTGAGAGGAACTGACATCTTTAAAATGTTGAGTCTTCTGATTCATGACCATGGTATGGCTCTTCATTGATTTACATCGTCTTTAATTTCTCTCAGCAATGTTTTGTAGTTATTAGTGTATGATTTTGCATGTAGCTTTTGTTATATTTTTTGTCTATGTATTTTATATTTTGGATGCTGTTATAACTGGTTTTTAAGAAGTTTTAATTCCCAATTGTTTATTCCTATTATATAGCAATATAATTGATTTTAATACAGTGATCTTGCATCCTTCAGCCTTGTTAAGCTGTAGTTGCTTTTTGGATGATCCCACAGGATTTTACACACAATCATGTTATTTGAAAATACAGTTTTATTTCTTTCTTTCCAATCTGATTGCCTTTTACTTCTCTTTTTTGACTTGTTCACTGGCTAGAGCTTCTAGCACAATATCATACAGAAGTGATGAGGGTAGACCGGGTGCGGTGGCTCATGCATGTAATCCCAGCACTTTGGGAGGCCGAGGCAGGCGGATCACCTGAGGTCAGGAGTTCGAGACCAGCCTGGCCAACATGGTGAAACCCCATCTCTACTAAAAATACAAAATTTAGCTTGGCGTGATGGTGCACACCTATAATTCCAGCTACTTGGGAGGCTGAGGCAGGAGAATCGCTTGAACCTGAGAGGCAGAGGTTGCAGTGAGCTGAGATCATGCCATTGCACTCCAGCCTAGGTGACAGAACGAGACTCTGCCTCAAAAAAAAAAGCAATGAGGGCAGACTTTTTTTGCCTTAAATTAAGACATTCCTGGCCAGCTGTGGTGGCTCATGTCTGTAATGCCAATACTTTGGGAGGCCAAGGTGGGTGGATCACCTGAGATCAGGAATTTGAGACCAGCCTGGCCAACATGGTGAAACCCCGTTTCTACTAGAAATACAAAAATTAGCTGGGCGTGGCGGCAGGCACCTGTAATCCTAGCTATTCAGGTGGCTGAGGTAGGAGAATCACTTAAACCTGGGAGGCGGAGGTTGCAGTGAGCCAAGATTGTGCCCTTACACTACAGCCTGGGTGACAAGAGTGAAAGTCTGTCTCAAAATAAATAAATAAATAAATAAATAAATAAATAAAGACATTTCTGAACTTAGGAACAAAGCATTTAGTATTTTACCATTGAGTATGTTGCTAGCTGTAGGTTTTTCGTAGATACCCCTCATCGGATTGAAAATGTTTCCATGAATTCCTCGTTTGCTGGGAATTTTCTTTTCTTTGAGGTTCAGATGTTGATTTTGTGAAATATATTTTATGCATCTATTGATATAATCATGGAATTTTTCTTTTTCTGTCTGTTAATATGGTTAATTTCATTTATTGGTTTTTGAATGTTGAACCAACCTTGCATTCCTGGGAGTAAATGCTATAGATAATGTTGTATATATTTACATATTATTTTCAATGTGATAAGATTTTGTTAATATTTGCATCTGTGTTTATGAGGATGTTAATCTGTATCATCTTTACCTGTTTTTTTTTTGTTGTTTGTTTGTTTTTGAGATGGAGTCTTGGTCTGTTGCCCAGGCTAGAGTGCAGTGGCGTGATCTTGGCTCACTGCAACCTCTGCCTCCTGGGTTCAAGTGATTTCCCTGCCTGAGCCTCCCGAGTAGCTGGCAGTACAGGTGCTTGCCACCATGCCCAGCTAAATTTTGTATTTTTAGTAGAGATGGGGTTTCATCGTGTTGGTCAGGCTGGACTCGAACTCCTGAACTCAAGTGATCCGCCTGCCTCAGCCTCCCAAAGTGCTGGGATTACAGGTGTGAGCCACTGTGCCTGGCCCATTAAGGTGCATATGTATTTAGGATTGTGATATTTTCCTGTTGGACTGATTTTTTTTTTTTTTTTGAGACAGAGTCTCGCTCTGTCTGCCCAGCCTGGAGTGCAGTGGCGTGATCTCAGCTCTCATCTCACTGCAAGCTCCGCCTCCTGGATTGATGCCATTCTCCTGCCTCAGCCTCCCGAGTAGCTGGGACTACAGGTGCCCACCACCACACCCGGCTAATTTTTTTGTATTTTTAGTAGAGACGGGGTTTCACCATGTTAGCCAGGATGGTCTTGATCTCCTGACCTCGTAATCCGCCCGTCTCAGCCTCCCAAAGTGCTGGGATTCCAGGTGTGAGCCACTGCGCCCGGCTGGACTGATCTTTTATCGTTATGTAATGTCCCTTTTTGTCTTTTTTTTTTTTTTTTTTTTTTTTTGAGACAGAGTCTCACTCTGTTGCCCAGGCTGGAGTGCAGTGGCGCAATCTCGGTTCACTGCAAGCTCCACCTCCCGGCTTCACACCATTCTCCTGCCTCAGCCTCCAGAGTAGCTGGGACTACAGGCACCCACCACCATGCCCAGCTCATTTTTTTGTATTTTTTTAGTAGAGACGGGGTTTCACCATGTTAGCCAGGATGGTCTCGATCTCCTGACCTCATGATCCACCCGCCTTGGCCTCCCGAAGTGCTGGGTTTACAGGTGTGAGCTACCACGCCTGGCCCCTTTTTGTCTTTTTTTTAACCGTTGTTGCTTTAAAGTCTGTTTGTGTGATATAGGAATAGCTACTCGGCAAGGCATGATGGCTCATGCCTGTAATCCCAGCACTTTGGGAGGCTGAGACAGGTGGATCACGAGGTCAGGAGATTGAGATCATCTTTGCCACCATTGTGAAACCCCATCTCTACTAAAAATACAAAAATTAGCTTGGTGTGGTGGCATGCCCCTGTAGTCCCAGCTACTCGGGAGGCTGAGGCAGGAGAATTGCTTGAACTCAGGAGGCAGAGGTTGCAGTGAGCCAAGTTAGCGCCACTGCATTCCAGCCTGGTGACAGAGCAAGACTTAGTCTCAGAAAAAAAAACAAAAACAAAAAAACATAGCTACTCTTGGCCAGCTCACATCTATTATCCTAGCACTTTGGGAGGCCAAGGCAGGCAGATCATGAGGTCAGGAGATTGAGACCATCCTGGCTAACATGGTGAAACCCTGTCTCTACTAAAAATACAAAAAATTTAGCTGGGCATGGTGGCGCATGCCTGTAGTCCCAACTACTTGGGAGGCTGAGGCAGGAGAATTGTTTGAACCCAGGAGGCAGAGGTTGCAGTGAGCCGAGATCGTGCCACTGCACTCCAGCCTGGGCAACAGAGCGAGACTCCATCTCAAAGAAAAAAAAAAAAGAATAGCTACTCGTACTTGCTTTTGGTTTCCATTTGCGTGCAGTATCTTTTTCTACCCCTTTACCTTAAGTTTATGTGAGTCCCTATGCATTAGATGAGTCTCTTGAAGACAGCAGATGGTTGGTTGGTGAATTTTATCCATTCTGTGTCTTTTAAGTGGAGCATTCAGGCCATTTACATTCAATGTTGGTATTGAATTATGAGATAGTGTTTTATTCATAGTGATAGTTGTGCTTTTTTAAATTGTGTTATTGTTTTATAAGCCTTTTAAAACATATACTTAAAGGAGGTTCTATTTTTGTTTCAAGATTTAGAACTCCTTTTGACATTTCTTGTAGTGCTGGCTTGCTAGTGGCAAATTCTCTCAGCATTTGTTTGTCTGAAAAAGACTTTATCTCTCCTCATTTATGAAGCATAGTTTTGCTGGATACAAAATTCTTGGCTGGCAATTATTTTGTTTGAGGAGGCTAAAGATAGGACCCCAATCCCTTCTGGCTTATAGGGTTTCTGCTGAGAAATCTGCTGTTAATCTGATAGGATTTCCATTGTAGGTTCCCTGATGCTTTTGCCTCATGGCTCTTAAGATGTTTCCCTTCATCTTGACTTTAGATAACCTGATGACTGTGTGCCTAGGTAATTATCTTTTTGCAATGAATTTTTCAGGTGTTCTTTCAGCTTCTTGTATTTAGATGTTTAGATCTCTGGTGAGAGCAAGGAACTTTTCCTTGATTATTCCCTCCAATAAGCTTTCTAAATGTTTAGATTTCTCTTCTTCCTGAGGAACACCAATTATTCTTAGGTCTGGCTGTTTAACGTAATCCCAAATTTCTTGGAAGCTTTGTTCATTTTTAAAAATTCATATTCGCCGGGCGCAGTGGCTCACGCCTGTAATCCCAGCACTTTGGGAGGCCGAGGCAGGCAGATCACAAGGTCAGGAGATCGAGACCATCCTGGCTAACACGGTGAAACCCCATCTCTACTAAAAATACAAAAAATAAGCCAGGTGTGGTGGCGGTCGCCTGTAGTCCCAGCTACTCAGGAGGCTGAGGTAGGAGAATGCTATGAACCCAGGAGACAGAGCTTGCAGTGAGCCGAGATCACGCCACTGCACTCCATCCAGCCTGGGCAACAGAGCGAGACTGTCTCAAAAAAAAAAAATTCTTTTTTATTTGTCTTTGTCTGGTTGAGTTACTTCAAATGCTTTGTCTTCAAGCTCTGAAGTTCTTTCTTCTACTTGTTGGAGATAAATGTTCAGTGCCACAAAGCGAAACCAGCACTCAGGCAAAAATTTTCTCAGCAAGGCAATTTACTTCTGCAGAAGGGTGCTGCTTGTGTCAATCACGATTGCAAGAGCACACTGAACAAAGGAAAGCAGGGGTTTTTATTCCTAATGCAGTCCCTGCCTCTTTGTCATTCCTCCATGGGCTGTGGTTGGACCGCACAATCTAAACTGACCCAATTGGCTATTTGTGAATACTTTCCCAAATAAGGAAGGGAAGGGAAATGTGAGTTACAATGGTGGGATGTGCGGTTTCAAAGGGAGGAACGGGTGAAGAGTGGGTAACCAAGGGAACAGATGTGAGTTATTGATTAGGACTGACAGGAAAGTTGTTTACAGTTACAGTAACTAGGGGCAAGGAGGCATAGAGAACAAGAAAGTTGAGTTTGAGAACAAAGAACAAGGAAGTTAACAGGCTAAACCTTTGAAGAATTTTATTGTATCCTACAATTTCCCCCTTTTAATTTTTATAGTTCTTCCTCTTCAAACCTTTTTAAGATGTCTTGGCTTTGCTGTTTGACTTGATCGTCTGAAAGGAAACGCTTATCTGAATAAGGTGGAGGAGAGCTAAGGGAGATTTTAGTAAGTGCTGTTTCTATAAGCCTTTGTACTAGCCCATGGTTGCATGGTGTGACACAACACCCAACAAGAATGAGTACACCTATTATGACTGCAAGAGAAGTAAGAATTGAGGCTATGATTCCTTTCTATTTACCAAACCACCTGTCTAGCCATCCTGAAGAAGGGTTATTGACTCCAGAATTTTTAGCTAATTCATTAGATAAAATGGTAAGTCCTTGTAAGGCTTTTGTTATGCTCCCATCTGGGGCAGTATGGTTTGGGATGAAGGTACGACACTGAGTTTTAATCATAACACAAACTCTACCTTTTTCAGCTAGTATCATGCCTAGGGCCATTCTGTTTTCCTAAGCCATCTGGCTAGTCAGCCCTAACTCCTCAGCTATTCCTTTGACAGCATCCCTGGTATAATTAATAAACTGCTGTTGGTTATAATAGATGTAATTTATACAGTCTACATTTTTATTAATAGTTACCCATGGAAATATTGATTCAAATCCTGCAGACTATTTGGTCCCGGGCTTTTAATTTATCAGGTACTCCCCATGGGACTCCAGTTGCATCTAAATAAACTTGAGAGTCAAAAAACCTATAAGGGGCTTCTCTTATTTTATGGTGTTGTGGCTTTTCTTTTTCTGGCTGATGAAACGCCAGGGTGAAAGGGATAGCCAAATGGACAAGAGTGCAGGTACCACTCCAGTTACTTGGCAGAGTGTCCAGTAAGGGTCCGCCACAATACCACCATACATCTTCTTGAGGATGACTAAGGGCAGACTGATGGGTAAGCTCTTGGAAAGGCTTAAGCTCACTGCATCCTGTTAAGCTTCCAAGGAACACCAAGTTTTCCCCTTGTCGTGAGAGACAGGACGTGAAATTGACATTGGGAGCCAGAAGCTGGATGGCCCTCTGGGGCTGACCCGCAGGATATTGAACTTTGGGATAGAGCAAAGAGAGAGCTTGGCATGATTGATTGCCCCAAGCTATGGAATCCTGGAAGAGAGCTACCATGCTGCCCATGCCTGGTTGACTGGGGGACCAGCCGAGTGTAAAGGGGTCTATCTGGGTCTCTGGCTGGCCGTGAGCACAAGCATAACAATTGCTTTTGTTTCATGTGCGGACAGAATATTTGGTCCATTCCAACCAGGCATTTGCATCTTGATATTTTGTTTCAATTGCTAAAGTTTGCCTTAGATCATTTACTTCTACAATATCTACTTTAGTCTTATCATTGGGTATAGAAGGTATGGCAGTCTGATTAGAAGAAGGCTTAGAAGGAGAAGAGAGGGAAGAGGGTGAAGAGGATGAGGGATTAATAAAACGCATTTCAAAAGACCCTATGAGGTCTGTGCCGCGTTGGTCCCTATGCCATAGAAGCGACTCAAAGTAGGTCTAGAGGGTCGGTAGAGGCCGGAGTGAGAGTAGAAATCTGCACTGGATTACACTGGTTATACTGAAAATCGAGGGGAGGGGTGCTTCCTTTAGTAAAGTGAATGTATGATTTTAAGTATATACAGCCACATGTTGATGAGGTCCAGCCTTGATACTCAGTTGTCCACAGAACATCATTCCAGCTATGGCAGACCTGTTTCCCTATATTTTATGAGGAGCAAGAGTCTTGGTAGCGGGAGCCTTTTATTTTAAAGTGGCAGAGATACTTTTCTAAGGCTGAGAGTTGCCTTTGACTTTGGAGATCTCTACAGGGTATGACTAAACAGGCATCAAACATAATAACTTGGGGTGAGTTTGATTTAGTCACATTGATAACAAGGTGGTCAGCAACAGAATGAGGAAAGAAGAAAGAGTAATAGAGTAGACGAAAGAGAGTTAAACTTTTCTTAGCTTTAGTTTGAGGGGGTTTTCCCCTGGGATAATGGCCCATGACTCTGGAGGTGACAGTGCTTTCTTGACTCAGGTGTGATGGGTCTATCCTTTTTCTGCTGTCCGGACTGCAGTTTCAGTGGTTAGAAGCACCAGGTAAGGTCCTTCCCAGGCTGGCTCAAGTTTCTCCTCTTTTCAGCTCTTGATAAGGACGTGATCCCCAGGCTGATGTTGATGTACTGGGAACTCCAGAGGCAGAGCCTGTGCTAGGAGACCTTTGGTTTTAAGAAAAGAGAAAGTAGGGGAGAGACTAAGAATATAATTCCTGAGGAACTGGTGTTTTTGGAACATCAGCAGTGGAGTGTAAATAAGGCAATCCATAGAGCATCTTGTAAGGGGAAAGGCCAGTATCTTTTCGAGGAGCAGTTTGGATTCTTTTTTTTTTATTTGGTTTTGTCAAATGTTTTATTGAGTGTAGACATCTGGAGTACTATAAAACATGCATTATCTGTAGATTCAAAAAGGAGCAAGCCACATTGTTCTCACTGTCAAATGTGTTAGGCTTGGCATACATGATGGAGATTAATGAAGTATCATGAGAGTAACATGGTTCTTGAAAAGCTTCTATAATTTGGAGTAGGGTCTTAATCACATGAAAAGCAAAGGTGTTCACATTTAGTGAACTTGCATTTCATTGGGGGGAGAGGGTACACAGTATTTTAATTTTAAAACAAAAATAATTTGTTTGTCAAAGATTCCCATCTCCCCAACTTTATTTGTCCCATTGGTTTTCAGAAATTTTAATTTTTAAAAAATCAGATGCCTTTTGGAAGTTGTATGTTTATCTGAGCAGTAACTAAATTTTATTTCTTCTTCAGTTGTTAAGGTGTGTTAAATTTGAAGAAGATAATATCTCCATCTTCAACAATATAATTTCTGCCTTGTTGTCTGTACTTTCCAGCAGCCTTGACTGCATTTTCAGAACCTTCCTCTTTAAAATCTTCATATTTCATTACTTCAGCCATAATGAATCCCTTTTCAAAATCTGTGTGAATCTTTCCTGCAGCCTGAGGAGCCTTAGTCCCTTTCCTGATGGTCCGTGCACGCACTTCATCTGGGCCTGCAGTGAAAAAGTATTTTAGTTGGAGTGCTGCAAACCCAGCCTTAATGATCTTTGGCAAAGCACTTTGTGTCATGTTCGCTTCCAGATACTGCTGTCTCTCCTCAGCACTCAATTCTTGCAACTTGAGTTCCAAGGCCCCACTAAAAGGAATGACCAAGGCACCTGGGTCATACTTGTCCACCCACTCTTTAATTTTTATCAGCCATTTGTTTTTCTTTCTAATGTAGTCTTTTTCAGAAAGATTAACCAAGTAGACCATTGGTTTTGAAGTCAAAAATAAGTGTTTATTCAACACTTCAATCTCTTTGTCATTCCAATCATGATAGAAGCGAACAGGTTCTTTTGATCTATAACCCAGGATTTTACTTTGCACATTATATCATATTTGGGTTTTAGTTTTTTATCTCCTCCTCTCACAGCCACCTTTTCTAGTTTATCTATAATGGGCCCAGTCATTCCTCATCTTTAAGCTGAAGCTCTTCATGTATTATTTCTATATCTCGAATAGGATCTACACTTTCTTCAACATGTGTGATATCATCATCTTCAAAAGCACGTGTTAGATGAAAGATGCCATCACAAGCACTAAAATGAGATAAAAAAGCATTCCCCAGGCCCTGCCCATTGTGAGCTCCTTTCACAAGGCCAGCAATATCCACTACATTTAGAAAGGCAGGAATTTTGCTTGCTGGTTTGTGATATTGGCAAAGAAAGTCAAACCTTTCATCTGGCACAGGTACTCTGCTCTCATTAGGATCAATAGTGCAGAATGGGAAGTTTTCTGCTGAAGCCTGACTATTGGTTAATACATTGAAGAAAGTAGATTTCCCAACATTTGGCAATCCAACAATACCAATTTTCAGTGAGGTTCCAAATCTTCCAATGATTGGGGGTGGTTTAATTCCATCACCTCCCTTTTGAGGGGGCATCGTGCTCAGCCTGGGCTATGACACGGGGTCCCAGTAGCAGCGAGAGAAAGGTCCTGCCGGCAGCCAGAGGCGGGGAGGAAGGAGGAGAGAACGCAGGCCCGGCCCCTCCGCCGAGCGGCATGCCGCACTACGGCGGCGACAGCGGTGGAACCGCCGTTTGGATTCTTAACAGGGCAATAGGAAGATATTTGATCCCTGGCAACCGAATCTATAGAACTAACTTGGTTAAATGGTTCTTTAAGGTCTGATTCATCCTTTCTACTCTCCCTGATGAAGGTGGGTGCCAAGGAGTATGATATTTCCATCTAATGTCTAGCGCTTAGGATAGCTTTTTAATGATATGTGCTATGAAATAGGTTTCACTGTCTGAGTCAATATTTTCTATTAGCCCAAACCTGGGCACTATATTTTCAATTAATGCTTTAACTACATGATTGGCCATTGCATTTGAAAAGGGAATAGCTTCGACCCAGTGAGTGAGGTGATCTGCTATTACTAAGTACTTTAGGCAACCGATTGGGGGCATTTCAATGTAATCAGTTTGAACACTTTGGAATGGTCTTAGCCCTGAATCCCTCCCCGCCCAGGGATGATTTCTTTATAACTTGTTTGTTGGTTTCCTTACATGTTAAGCAACTATCCATAACCTGTTTGGCTAGGGTATATACCCATAAACCCTGAGAACTGTGTCACACATGGCTTGGGGTCCCCAGTGTGTCCCTTGATGCAGGTGGGTAGGATTTCTCTCATGAGCGGTTTGAATAGCATTTCTCTTTGATCTGGTAACACCCATTTTCCTTCTGAGTTTTCTTTGGCTCCATTTTTATTAATTTTTCCTTTTCTGCAGCAGACAAGGTAGGGGTTGCAGCAGGGGGAGGAAGACGAGGGGTTAAGTGAAAGGTGTTTCAGATGAAATGGCAGCCTGTTTAGCCACTTGATCTGCAAGGTTATTTCCCTGACTTGTAAAGGAAAAGTCGTTTTGGTGTCCGGGGACATGTACAATGGCTATTTCTTCTGGCAACTGGAGATTGTTTAAAACATGGACGATTAGCTCCTCGTGGGTAAGATATTTTGGCCTTTAGTTTTTTTTTGTTTTTTGGTGTTTTTTTGAGACGGAGTCTTGCTCTGTCACCCAGGCTGGAGTGCAGTGGCACGATCTCAGCTCATTGCAAGTTCCACCTCCCGGGTTCACGCCATTCTCCTGCCTCAGCCTCCTGAGTAGCTGGGACTACAGGATCCCGCTACCACACCTGGCTAATTTTTTTGTATTTTTAGTAGAGACGGGGTTTCACCATGTTAGCCAGGATGGTCTTGATCTCCTGACCTCGTGATCCGCCCACCTCAGCCTCCCAAAGTGCTGGGATTACAGGCATGAGCCACCGCGCCTGGCCTGGCCTTTAGTATTAATAAGACCTTGCTCAGCCCAAATTTTTCCAAATATATGAGCTACTCCAAAAATGTATTTAGAATCAGTATGAATAGTTCCTTCCTTGCTCTGTAAGTGTTTTAAAACCTGGCTGAGTGCAAATAGTTCACATGCTTTGGCAGACCAACTATTGGGCAACCTTCCTGACTCTGTTTCTTCAAGAGTTTCTCCATCAATTACTGAATACCCATTGTATTTTTCTCCTTTAATTGCTTGGGATCAACCATCTATAAATAAGTGTCACCCCATTTTGAAAGGGGTCTCTCTTAGATCCGGCCTGACCTTTGTTTGGTAGTCAGTTAGATCTAGACATAAGTGTTCTCTTTTTAGATTTGGGTCCCCTGTTAAGAAACCTCTCGGATTGAGTGAGTTATCAGTAGTCAAGGTTAAATCATCTTTTTAGTAAAATAGCCTCCTATTTTAAGATTCTGGAGTCAGTGAGCCACCTTCCTGCTTTTTTATTTAAAATAGCTCTAACTTGGTGGGGTGTGCTTACAGTCAATTTCCCCCCAAAGATTAATTTTCTACTTTCTTCAACTAATACTGCTGTAGCTGCAACGAATTGGATGCACTGAGGCTACCCACAGGTGACTGGGTCTAAAATTTTTGATAGGAAGGCTACGGGCTGCCGGTGACCACCATGTTCTTGAGTAAGAACCCCTAAAGCTACCCCGTTATTTACATTAACAAAAAGATGAAATGGCTTTTCTAGGGAAGCTAAGGCTAAGACAGGGGCAGTTATGAGTTTGTATTTCAGCTCTTCAACCTGATTGACTTCCTCAGAAGTCCACAGGAGACGGTCCAGTTTCCACTGGGTAAGCTTTTCATATAAAAGTTTACTTTTTAGGGCATATGAGTCAATCCATAAGCATCAATATCCAACTAATCCTAGAAATTTTCTGAGTTATTGCTTAGTTTGAGGCAAGGGTAAGGACACGATGCCTTCAACTCGTTCAGGTCCTATCCTTTGCTTACCTGCACTTATTAAGTGGCCTAAATATTTAACTTCAGGCTCCACATACTGAAGCTTTCCCTTTAAGAACCATAACCCCTCGAACTCCAGATGGTTAAGGATATGTGTAGAGAAGCCAGCTACTTTCTCTACATCTTCAACAGATACGAGAATATCATCCATGTACTGGAGCAGGCATATTTGCTTTGGGATGACAACTTTTTCTAACACTTGTTCTAAAATTTGACCAAAAAGGTTTGGAGAGTCTGTAAACCCTTGAGGTAAAACTGTCCATCAATAATGTTGTTTTCGCCCTGAATGGGGATCCTACCACTCAAAAGCAAATATGTCTCAGCTGTCTTCAGCCAAGGGGCATGCCCAGAAGGCATCTTTTAAATCTATTACTGTAAACAACTGATGGTTTTTTGGAATTTTGCTGAGAATGGTGTATGGGTTGGGGACAACAGGATGGTTAGTTTGGACTATTTGATGGCTCTAAGATCTTGTACCAAGTCGGTATGACGCATCTAATTTCTTGACTGGCAATATTGGAGTGTTATACGGGGACATACAGGGTTCAAGGAGCCCATCTTTAATAAGACTTTCAATTATAGGCTTTAATCCTATCCTGCCCTCTAGGGGTTTGGGGTATTGTTTCCTCCTTACTACTTCCCTGGGGATTCTTAACTTGATGTGGATTGGAGGGATTCAGAGTTTCTCCCGGTTTCCTTCCCTTGACCAGACACTAGGATTAATGCATTTTTCATCTGTGGTGGTGAGTAGGTTTAATGAGGTAAAGAATCCTTTAGGACCAACTTGTAAGCCTGTGCCTAATTCTAGCATTAAGTCTCTTCCTAATAGATTAGTTTCTGCCTCAGGGATCAACAAAAATTGGATATGAGTCAGCCGATCTTGGTATTTAACTTCTGTACTTTCTAAGATTTTTGCTTTAAATCCTTCTCCTTTTACCCCAGAGACTAAAAGTTCTTCTGAAGAGCAGGCAATGTTGGATGGGGGGAAGCAAATGGAGGAGCGAGCCACTCCTGAATTGACTAAAAGGTGATAAGCTCATGTTTGGTTCCCACCTGTAAATTTATCAAGGGCTCCTGGTGGGACTCGAGATAAACAGAGCCCCTGACCCCCCTGTTCTTCCTCAAAAGTCATGAGTTGAAGGGCTTCTTTCTCCTTTTCCAGTTTGGGACATTCTCTTTTGAAGTGGCCTGCCCTTCAAACGGTCTGGACGGACCGTTTATAGTTTCTGGCCCCCTGGAAGCTTTGTTTAGAAGCATAAACGAGGGTCTGGACCTTTTATAGTTTCTGGCCCCCTGGAAGCTTTGTTTAGAAGCATAAACGAGGGTCTGGACCTTTTATAGTTTCTGGCCCCCTGGAAGCTTTGTTTAGAAGCATAAACGAGGGTCTGGACCTTTTATAGTTTCTGGCCCCCTGGAAGCTTTGTTTAGAAGCATAAATGAGGGTCTGGACCTTTTATAGTTTCTGGCCCCCTGGAAGCTTTGTTTAGAAGCATAAACGAGGGTCTGGACCTTTTATAGTTTCTGGCCCCCTGGAAGCTTTGTTTAGAAGCATAAATGAGGGTCTGGACCGTCTATCGTTTCTGGCCCCCTGGAAGCTTTGTTTAGAAGCATGTGGGTGTGGGGCCACCTGCTGGAAAGTGGATAACGTGAGTTTTTGCCTTTTGTTTTTGCTTCTTTCCTCACATATATTTTTTGAGCTTCTCCCAGAAGTTCACTTAGAGGTTGGTTTTCCCAGTCTTCTAATTTTTGTAACTTTTTTGAAATATCTGGCCAACTTGTAGTGACAAAATGGAGCTTTAACACTCCCTGTCCAAGGAGATCTTCCAAATTTAGGCCTGCATATTGTCTTGTTTGGTCCTTTATTCTTGTCTAGAAATTTCATAGGCCCCCTCATCTTTTTCCTATTGTATATCAAATGCTTTAGAGAGGTTTTGGGTTCAGGGTACTGATTCCCTAATTCCCTTTATTATCATTTCCCTTAGGTCTTGCATATTTTCCCAGTGAGCTGCATTAATATCGTCCCACCGGGGGTCTTGGGTGGGAAACTTTTGATCTGCGGTAGGAATGTTTGACCAGGAGGGTGTTCGTGTTCCCAAATTGCCATAGCAGCCCTACAGATCATGCTTCTTTCCTCCCCTGAAAAGAGGACGCAGGCCGGGCGCGGTGGCTCACGCCTGTAATCCCAGCACTTTGGGAGGCCGAGGCGGGTGGATCATGAGGTCAGGAGATCGAGACCATCCTGGCTAACAAGGTGAAACCCCGTCTCTACTAAAAATACAAAAAAAATTAGCCGGGCGCAGTGGCGGGCGCCTGTAGTCCCAGCTACTCGGGAGGCTGAGGCAGGAGAATGGCGTGAACCCGGGAAGCGGAGCTTGCAGTGAGCCGAGATTGCGCCACTGCAGTCCGCAGTCCCGCCTGGGCGACAGAGCGAGACTCCGTCTCAAAAAAAAAAAAAAAAAAAAAGAAAAGAGGACGCCTAGGATGGACATTAACTCCACCCAAGTGTATAACTGAGGTCCTAAGAATTGATCAACCTGATCTGTTACCCAATAAGGTCATCCAATAACGGCTTAAGTTCCTTCTTCAAACTTCAGACCTCTGAACTGGTTAAGGGAGCATTCACAAAATTAATAGCCCCCCTGTCCTTGTGGCACCTCTTTTAAGGGGAAGAGAGTTGGGGCTGACTCCATAGATGTGGAGGGAAATGGGAAATTTTGGATATCTTTTTTACATTGTTCTACCTCACGTTGGAGTCCTTTTAGGGAGGGGTACTTAGGCTGAGAAGGAACAGGCTAATGGGATGGTGATTCCCAAGAATCAGGATTGTAAGGAGGAGGAATAACATGAGCAGGAGAAGGATCTGGAGCAGGAACGGGGACAGCAGCTGCTACCTGAGGGGAAGGGTTAGGGGCACTGAGCGTGGGGGAAGATGGTTTAGAGGATCCCATGTGCTGGAGTCTTTAGGCATGGGGACTGGCTTTTCTCACTCTTCAGTTTGAGGTGCTAGATTGGGTTTTTCCCTAGTTGTCTTTAAGGGAAAGAGGAGGACAGGTCCCTGCCTCCAACAAAGAGCATAGGCCAATTCTTCTTGAGAAACTGGACTTTTATCATTTACATATTGAATTAGAAGTTGACACATCACATCCTTGTTCAACCCAAACTTTGACCAAAAGATTGAGGGTTTGAGGATGGGTCCCTGAGTCCAAATAAAACAGCAATTGTTTGTCATTTGTTGCTTTTTCTTATGTTTAGTTCTCTCATTATCTTTCCAATATTTTAACATGAGACCTAGGGGACTAACAGCAGGAATATCTTTATTGCTGTCTTTATCCTTTTTACTCCGTGTCCTGCTTGGGGTGTTTCCCATGTTGGGTCCTAGTTAGGCTCAGTCCCTCATATTAGAGATTTCTTGCCTATCCTTTTCTGGAGGCTTGCTGAGGCTCAATCCCTCGTATTAGAGATTTCTTGCCTCTCCTTTTCTGGAGGCTTATTGAGGCTCAATTCCTCATACTAGAGATTTCTATCCTTTAGCCCCACCTGCTGGAGGCTCCTTGCACCCTTCTTTTGCTTCGTCCACTCTGGTCGCTTCCCGGAGGGGAATTTAGGTCCCTCTTACCTTTGGCACGCCCATATAAACCCCATGGCAGGATCTGTCCTAAGCCATATGAGGTGACCATGGAACCTCAGATAGGACACACTCATTCCGCACAGCAGTAGTGCTTAGTACCATTCACACAAGCAGCACCGCAAGCAGTAATGCTTGTGATCATTCATACACACTTTCAATCTCCAGAATATCTTGACCACCAAGGAAATGCTTTGTCACCCCTGTGACGTTTCTTACCTTGGTCTGTGCACAAAGTTACCTGGTCACCATGGTGTTGCAAGCCTTTTTTTCCCCACATTGCTGAGAGTCCGGATTTATTCGTCACACCGGGTGGGTTCCGATCCCTCACCCTGAGGCCACCGCAACGAGGCAGTGGGATGCGTCTCCTTATGAGAGGTGACCAGAGACCCCTTCCCTGGAGGAGAATGGGAATCCTGGATGAGCCCCAGATTTGTTGGAGATAAATGCTCAGTGCTGCAAAGTGAAACCAGCACTGAGGCGAAAGTTTTCTCAGCAAGGCAGTTTACTTCTGCAGAAGGGTGCTGCTTGTGTCAATCACGATTGCAAGAGCACACTGAACAAAGGAAAGCAGGGGTTTTTATTCCTAATGCAATCCCTCCCTCTGTGTCACTCCTTCATGGGCTGTGGTTGGACTGCACAATCTAAACTGACCCGACTGGCTATTTGTGAATACTTTCCCAAATAAGGAAGGGAAGGGAAATGTGAGTTACAGTGGTGGGACGTGCGGTTTCTAAGGGAGGAAGGGGTGAAGAGTGGGTAACCAAGGGAACAGATGTGAGTTATTGATTAGAACTGACAGGAAGGTTGTTTACAGTTACAGTAACTACGGACAAGGAGGCATAGAGAACAAGAAAGTTGAGTTTGAGAACAAAGAACAAGGAAGTTAACAGGCTAAACCTTTGAAGAGGAATTTTATTGTATCCTACATACTTGTTCTAGTCTGTTGTTGACACTTTCCAGTGCATTTTTTATTTCTTTAAGTGTGTCTTCCATTTGCAGAAATTGTGATTTTTTTTTCTTTATAATATCTGTTTCTCTGGAGAATTTTTCATCCATAGCCTGTATTTTTTTTGTTGTCTTTTTCTTTCTTTCTTTCTTTCCTTTTTGAGACTCTGAGCACTCTGTTGCTCACAGTGCAGTGGTGCAATCTCAGCTCACTGCAACCTCTGGCTCCTGGGTTCACGCAATCCCCCTGCCTCAGTCTCCCAAATAGCTGGTATTACAGGCACGCACCACCATGCCTGGCTGATTTTTGTATTTTTAGTAGAGATGGGGTTTCACTGTGTTGGCCAGGCTGGTCTGAAACTCCTGACCTCAAGTGATCAGCCCGCCTCAGCCTTCCAAAGTGCTGGGTTTACAGGTGTGAGCCACTGCGCCTGGCCAATCCATAGCCTGTATTGTTTTTTACATTTCTTTGTTTTCACTTTTCTCTGGTCTCTCCTTGAGTAGTTTAATAATCAACCATCTGAATTGTTTATCTGGCAATTCAGAGATTTCTTCTTGATTTGCATTCATTGCTGGGGAGCCAGTATGGTCTTTTGGAGGTGTTATAGAACCTTGTTTTGTCATATTACAATTTTTCTGATTTCTTCTCACTTGGGTAGACTATTTCAGGGGAAAAATCTGGAACTCAGGGGCTACTGTTCAGATTCTTTTGTCCCACAAAGTGACCCCTTGATGTGATGCATTCTCACTTCCCCTAGGGAT
Organism: Homo sapiens; assembly: GCF_000001405.40. Lineage (NCBI taxonomy): Eukaryota > Metazoa > Chordata > Mammalia > Primates > Hominidae > Homo > Homo sapiens. Next base: position 39,044 of record NW_004504305.1, read on the forward strand.
GGAGCTTCGTGAGAGCCAGACTGTAGTGATTGCTATTGCTCTTCTGGGTCCAGCCACCCAGTGGGGCTACCAGGTTCCAGGCTGGTGCTGAGGAATGTCTGCAAAGAGTCCTGTGATGTGATCCGTCTTTAGCTCTCCTGGCCATGGACACCAGCACCTGCCCTGGTGGAGGTGGGAGGGGAGTAAAGTAGACTGTGAGTGTGAGAGTCCTTGCTTGTAGTTTTGTTTACTGTGCTGGCTTTCTCAAATGCTGGTTATGCTAGCAGTGAAGTTGTCACGTGGACAGACTCAGGAGCTCTGGTTAGCCAGGATGTTGAAAGCAGTGGAATTAGCTGTTTCTCATTTCTTGGAGCAGGGTTATTCTGTTGTGAGTTGCTGTAATGTCCTGACTTGGTTGGCCTCCAGCCAGGAGGTGGCGCTTTCAAGAGAACACCAGCTGCAATACTGGAAGGGGGATATAAGCTTGCCCTAAGTTGGCCAGGATAAGTATTAGGATTTCTCAGGTGATGGACAGGGCCATAAAGCTCCCAAGAGTTTATGGCTTTTGTGATCAGCTACCAGGGCGGGTAGAGAAATACTGTCAGGTTGGGGCAGGGTTAGGTGAGTCTGAGCTCAGACTCTTTCTGGGAATCTGTTACTGATTTGTAATTTTTAATTCCACAGTGTTTGAAGGACATACTTGAAATAAATTTAAAATCCATTGAGATTTGTTTCGTGGTCCAGAATATGGCCTATCTTGGTGAATGTTTCATGTGTATGTGAAACTGAGGCATCCATCCCTCAGTTTCAACCACCCATAGATTTGTAATTATTGTTACATTTACAGAAATTTGCAGGAAGGTAGAAGTTATTGTCTTGAACCATAAAATGTCTGTTTGAAGTCTTTGAGCTCCTCAAGGGTAGGCTGTATGTCCTGTTTACCTTTGATCCTCTCAGCATAATGCTTGGACCAAAATGGAAGCTCAGCAGACACTGGTTGAATGAATGAATAGATGACATTCAATTGTTAGGCTGTGTTCTTGTTTTGGATTTAGAAAATATGCTTATTGTGTTATGCAGTAAGACTGAGTCTTGGCTGGGTGCAGTGGCTTACGCCTGTAATCTCAATACTTTGGGAGGCCGAGGCGGGTGGATCACTTGACGCCAGGAGTTTGAGACCAGCCTGGCCAACATGACAAGACCCTGTCTTTACTAAAAATACAAAAAAATTAGCTGGGCATGGTGATGCACACCTGTAATCCCAGCCACTCGGTAGCCTGAGGCATGAGAATCTCTTGAACCTGAGAGGTGGAGGTTGCAGTGAGCCATGATCATGCCACTGCACTCCAGCCTGGGCAACAGATCAAGACTCAGTCTTAAAGACAAAAAAAAAATACTGAGTCTTACACACTTTTGCATCTTTGTGTCTCTATGGGTCTTCACACAGAGCTTGGCACATTGTAGCTGCTCAGTCAGCACTGTTTGTGCTGAATTGAAACAATGAGATATGTACAAAGGGGCTGTCTCTCACTACTGGGGATTTAAAGCCACCCCGAGGCATTTGACAAGCTGTTCTGGCCAAGGTTGAAGAGGTTGTCCTGTCATAAAGCCCCCCTAAGACACGATGTCACACATAGACACCACTCTCTGTGCGAAAGGGGGGGCCTGTGCACTGAACTCCCAGACTTAGCTGGGCCTCAGTGCTCTTCTTGGGTTTGGTCATAGAGCCCAAGAGGAGGTGGATAAGCTGCCTGACACTGATATGGTAAAAGGATTATCTGCAAATTTCTAGCGTCATCAAGACTGGCCTCTTTGGTAAGCAGGCCTAAAAGGCTGCCCTCAATAAACCACCCAAGCAGGTGAAAATTATCTTTTTACCCCAAGCCTACCTTTTCTACATCCTTTTCTACTTGACATGCCCCTTCTACTCCTCTTCTCTCCTTTAGGACTCATTCTCTCTCCTTTCCTCCTCTAAACCTCCTCCCAGAAAAAGACCTGATAACTTCACTTACACCGGGTTATAGATGACTAACAAAGCTTACTATTGAATATGTTGCTAGTAGAAATCTGAATAAGATACAGCAACTTTTCAACTCTGATCATGGCTTTAAGCACTAGGATGAACCACAGCCATGTAATCATTCATTTGGTTACTTAGCTCTTGCTGTATCCCACGCATAGGGGCAGCTACTGGGGGTTTGACAGTGGACGGACCTAAAGTGGTCCCTCAGTCAGGGGACAGTACAGTACCCTAAGAGCACTGAGGAGGGCCACCCCACGTGAACTCAGGTAGTCAGGGGAGCCCTCCTGAAAGCCATGGAGAAACACATTCTAGGTAGATAACAGCACATGCAAAGGCCTAGAAGTGAGTGTCTGAGGTGGAAGTTCAGAGTCTTTGTCGTCAGCAGGACATGGAGCAACACTTGACACTGAGATTTAGGCAGAGAGAGACAGAGAGACAAAGAGAGATAGAGAGACAGAAACAGATACAGAGACAGAGTTAGAGATACAGAGAGATAGACAGAGACAGAGACAGAGATAGAGACAGAGCTAGAGATACAGAGAGAGACAGAGATACAGAGAGAGAGACAGATAGAGATACACAGAGAGAGGCAGAGACAGAAATAGAGACTGAGAGAGGCAGAGACAGAAAGAGAGACAGAGATAGAGACTGAGAGATAGAGAGAGAGAGGAGTGGGAGGCAGGAGGAAAACCAGAGCATGAGAGGTCAAGCAGCCAAGAGAAAAGGCGAGGTCGTTAAAGAAAGGGTCAGCTGGGGCCGGGTGCAGTGGCTCATGCCTGTAATCCCAGCACTTTGGAAGACCGAGGCAGGCGGATCACGAGGTCAGGAGATCAGGACCATCCTGGCTAACATGGGGAAACCCCGCCTCTGCTAGTAAATACAAAAAAATTAGCTGGGCCTCGTGGCGGGCCGCCTGTAGTCTCAGCTACTCGGGAGGCTGAAGCAAGAGAATGGTGTGAACCCGGGAGGCGGAGCTTGCAGTGAGCCGAGATCACGCCACTGCACTCCAGCCTGGGCGACAGAGCGAGACTCCGTCTCAAAAAAAAAAAAAAAAAAAAAAAAAAAGAAAAAAAGGAAAGAGTCATCTGGGTTTGGTGACTAGGAGCGTACTGGTGACCTCAGTGAGAGGGGTTTCAGAGGCTTATGGAGACAGATGCAGGTTGAAGTGGGTTGTGGAGCGCGGGAGAGGTAGAAAGCAGTAAACACACCCCCCTGCCAACACCGCTCTCAGGAGACTGGTGTGAAGGGTAGGGGTCAGGACGCTAGCTGGAGAAGGAATATGGGTTCAAGGGAGAAGGGCTTTTTTCTTTTTAATAGAAGAGATCAGCAATGTGTTTAGATGCTGATGGAAGGAGCCAGAAAAAAGGAAAAGGAGAATATTGAGGTGAGACGAGATCTCCAAATGCCCAGGTGAGAAGACCAGATGAAATGGGGCACAGGAGTAGGGCTAGCTTTGGAGAGGGAGGGGAGCCTCCTCCCCTCCTCCCCTGGAAGAGGAAATGGCCTATGAGAAGCCGGTGAGTGAATGGGTTTGGTGGCAGCAAGTTGAGGAAATGCCCATCTGATGGTGCCTATGCTCTCTGCTGAAAGTGAGGAAGACGGGGTGGAGTTAGAGGTTAAAGAGAGAATCTAAGGGCCGGGCATTGTGAGGAGGGCAAGGCAGGATTGGTGGAGCCCAGGAGTTCAAGACCAGCCTGGGCAACATAGACCCTGTCTCTACAAAAAAATTAAAAATTAGCTGGGTGTGGTGAGGTGTGCCTGTGGTCCCAGCTACTCAGGAAGCTGAGGTAGAAGGATCACTTGAGTGCAGGATGTTAAGGCTGCAGTGAGCTGGGATCACGCCACTGCACTCCAGCCTGAGTGACACAGCAAGACTCTGTCTTTAAAAAAAAAAAAAAGTGGCTGGCCTCGGTGGCTCACGCCTATAATCCCAGCACTTTGGGAGGCCGAAGCGGGTGGATCACCTGAGGTCAGGAGTTTGAGACCAGCCTGGCCAACATAGTGAAACCCCGTCTCTACTAAAAATACCTTAAACCCAGGAGGTGGATGTTGCAGTGAGCCGAGATCGTGCCAGTACACTCCAGCCTGGGCGACAGAGACTCCGTCTCAGAAAAAAAAAAATCCTCCATAGTCACCTGTAGTCAGCCCTTCCTCCTACTCCCACACCCTGGCAATCAGTGAACAGTTTCCTGTTCCTGTGGTTTTGACTTTGCAAGATTGTCATATAAATGGAAACGTATGGTAGCCTTTTCAGTCTGGTTTATTTTACTTAGCACAAAGCATTTGAGATTCATCTAGTCACGTGTATCCGTAGTTTGTTCCTTTTATTGAGTGGTGGTCCGTTGTATGGATGTTCCAGAACATTTGGACTATTTCTAGTTTGGGGCATAAAATGACTATTAATAAATATTCACGTACAAGTTTTGTGTGTACATAGATTTTCCTTATACTTGAGTAAAGAGCAAGCAGTGGAATTTTTGGGTCATATGGTAAGTGTAAGTGTAAGTTTAATTTTGTAAGAAACTCAAACTTTTTCAAAGCGGCTGTCTCACCAGCAATAACCGAGAGGTTCCAGTTGTTCTACATCCTCTCCAGCATTTGTTATCTTTGAAAGCCATTCTAAAAGGCATATTTCAATTTTTATTAGATCGGTATTGAAGATTTACATTATTAAACTATGTAAACAGGCCAGGCGTGATAGTTTACACCTATAATCTCTGCACTTTGGGAGGCGAAGGCAGGAGGATCTCTTGAGCTCAGAAGTTCCAGGCCAGCCTGGTCAACATAGTGAGACTCTGTACAAAAAATAAATAAATAAATCAGAAAAAAATTAGCTAGGTCAGGCACAGTGGCTCATGACTGTAATCCCAACTACTTGAGAGGTCAACATGGGAGGATCGCTTGAGTCCAGGAGTTCGAGACCAGCCTGGACAACATTGGGAGACACTGTCTATTTAAAAAAAAAAAATTAGCTGAGTGTGGTGGTGCCCTGTGATCCCAGCTACTAAGGAGGCTGAGGTAAGAGAGTCACTTACTTGAGCACAGGTTGTGGAGGCTGCAATGAAACGTGATCACTGCACTCCAGTCTGGGCAACAGAGCAAGACTCTTTCTCAAAACAAAAAATGTAGACAGTAGTCCCAGTTGAGTCATGATTTTAGTTTTTCTTCTTCTCTTTCTTTAGTTTTTTGTGCATCTATTAAATAATTAATTCATCCAAATTTTCTGCCAAAAATAGAAATCTCTTTGCAGTACATTTAGACAGATCAGGTCATTTCTCCATATGATCATTTTCATGGAGACATACCTCAGGAGCCCTCCATCTCCCTGATTCCATCTGGATGGGGCACCCTGGAGGTCTGCTGCCCAGCTGTCCTCCTGAGCTCCCCATTCACCCTTATGCTCAGGGGCTCTCCCTGCCTGTTGTGCTGGGTCCCATGTTATCTTCTTTTCTATTTCTCCTTTATTTTAGTGAAGTACAACCTCCGGTTGCTTCCTGAGGGGTAGTCTTGAGACATTTATGTATCCGAAAAGACCTCAATTCATACTTGCATAGCATTTGGCTAGGTATAGAATTCTAGATTGGAAATATTTTCTCTCAGATTTTGAAGGTCTTCATTATCTTATAGCTTCAAAGGTTGGTGTTGAGAAGTCTGATGAATGTTGAATTCCTGAAGCTCAGACTTTTTTCTCTCTGGAAGTTTTTGGGTTCCACTCTGTCCTCAGTGTTGTGAAATTTCTTGACAACAAAATTGGGGCTGGGTCCCCTTCATTCATTGTCATGAACACTTGGTGTTTCCTTCTCTACTGGAAACTCATGTTCTTCCTCTGTGAGAACTTGTCTTGACAAAAAAGAAACGTATTTATTAGACATCTTTCCTTGCCTCCTAGTCTGTTGTCTCTGCTGCCTGTTTCAGAAACATCTAAACAACAATTTAGCTGTTGGAGCTCCTGACCTCTTCTCTGTTCTTTCTGGAAAATATTTTTTTCAAGTTTAGCTTCTATACTTTGATTAGATTTTGCATTCCTATTATTATATTTTTTATTTTTAAGGCAAGGTCTTTCTCTGTTGCCCAGGCTGGAGTGCAGTGGCACGATCACAGTTCACTGCAGCTTTGTTCCTGGACTCAAGTGATCCTCCCACCTCAGCCTCCCAAGCAGCTGGAACTACAGGTGTGTGCCACCACACCCAGCCAGTATTTTAATTTTTTGTAGAGATGGGGTCTCCTTAGGTGGCCCAGGCTGGTGTTGAATTCCTAGGCTCAAACAATCCTCCTGCCTTAGCCTCCCAAAATGCTGGGATTACAGGCATGAGCTAAGGCACCCAGACTATATTTTTGTCAAGAATTAGTGGTGGTGGGTGTTTGAACATTTTTATTTTAGACCCTCCTATTCTTATTTCATGAATGCAAAGTTTTATCTTTCTAAAGATATCAATTATAGATTTTTTTTTTAAGACAGTTTCACTCTTGTTGACCAGGCTGGAGTGCAATGATGCGATCTCGGCTCACTGCAGCCTCTGTCTCCCAGGTTCAAGCAATTCTCCTGCCTCAGCCTCCTGAGTAGCTGGGATTACAGGCACCCACCACCACGCCCAGCTAATTTTTTGTATTTTTAGTAGAGACGGGGTTTCACCATGTTGGCCAGGCTGGTCTCGAACATCTGACCTCAGGTGATCCACCCATCTCGGCCTCCCAAAGTGCTGGGATTACAGGCGTGAGCCACCCTGCCCAGCCCAATTATAGATTTTTTAGGTTTAGGTGTTGACAGTAGCTCTCACCTCAGCCTGTTCTCTCTCCTTGTCATGCAGCCCACAGGGGAGATGGTCAGGCCAGTGTGGGGGCTAATGAATAAATGCTACACTGTGCCCACTCAGGTGGGTAAGGGCTGGCACTCCTCTTCCCCTGGAGTGGGGCGGCTGTGCTGGCACCCTTGGCAGACACAGTAAGGGGGACTGCACCTGGAAAGGATGGGCCAGTCGGGGCAGGACTACTCATCACTCATAGTGTGGGTGTCAGGGTTGTGTCACCCCTCCCACCTCCCTCTGCAGAGACGCAAAGTCAAGAGTAGGAAGAAGCCAACCTCTGAGGTAAGGCTTCCCCTGGAAGGCCCAGGGCTGGGGCTCTCTCCTTTCAGAGCTCAGTTAGACCCAGACACACGGCAGGGAGTCCCAAGGGTAGTGGCAGGCCCCCTCCAGGAAACTCACAAGGTTACCACAGCTCAACTGAAAAGGAAGAACTTCCCAGGACTGTGACACCCCAGTGTGAGAACAGGAGGATGAGGTGCTCTGAAGGCCTTTCTGCCCAGTCTGCCCTCTTATTCCTCCTGCAGGTCACGACCCCCAGGAGACCTGGAGGACTGAATGCTGCTGCCCCCAAGGAGGAGGCTGCCGTCTTATCCCAGGAGGGAGAGCAGGTGAAGTCCCCAGGGGAGGAAGCACCTAGCCCCATTCCTGCTGAGCAGGAGGTGGCAGGTACCCCAGACTGGGAGGTAAGGACAGCCCGGGGCTTCGACTGAACGTCTCCAGCGTGGGTCCAACTGAGCAGCCATGGAGCACTGCAGAGTGGGAGGCAGCAGGGCAGGGAGGCAGTGCTGGAGGCTGGCTCAACCCCAAGACCAGCAGGCCAAGCTGCCATCCCAGGGGAGCGAGGACGTCTGTGCAGAGCTGAGAGGCAGCAGCCATGTGTGAACAGACTGGGCCTCATCCTGGCCCACCGACTTTGTGTGGACAGAGCCTGTTTCCCTGTCTGTGCAACACAGAACCTGCCTGATCTCACTGCTGGATCCCTCTTCTTCCTGCCAGGAAAATAAAAAGGTTCAAAAGGAAGTTGCTGCGTATCCATCTGGTAAGACCACTGACCCAGCGTGCTGCAGGGGGCTGCTTCCACCCTGCTTCTCAGTGACTGCCAGGGTCACAGACACCCCAGCCCTTTCCCACCTTCCTGACCTGGGGAGGGGAGGGGAGGGAAGCAGCCCAGGAGTCAGGTGCCTTGACCTTCCTGGGAGCCTCCTTGGGTGGGCAGGAACTCTGGGCCACTCCCCTGAGCTGGCTGCATCCCTACCTTTCACCACAGCTGACCTGGCCCCGGGGCATCTCAGAGGGAGGGTTGGTTGCTCCCAGGAGGGGACTCACAAGGCTGCCTGTTTCTACTTTGCAGAGGCCTCTGAGGACAGCAAAGAGCAAAGGCCCTGGGACCGGGTCTACGTGCCCATGACAGAGCTCTGGCTGGACTGGTTCTGAGCCTCTAACACCCCCAAGACTCAGAACCGTGAAGAAAATCTTTCCAATAAATCCAAGAGTTGCTGCTGCTATAGGCCAGGCTGCCACCTTTCGGGGCCTCCGTCTTCAGACAAACCCAGCCTGGCTTCATCCACACTCCCTGTCCCCACAGCTGCAGGAACAGCACTTCCTGCCACCGAGCCGTGTGACCACAGTGGATTGTCTCTGGAGGGGCCCAAGGGGGCCCTGGCCACCCTTCTGACTGACTCGGTGCCAGGGGACAGACCAACGTCCCTCTCGTGCTGACAGCCGGGCCGCACCCTGGCATGAGGGCATTTACAGAAATGCTGGCGGAACTGCTGCCAGGGAGGCTGTAGGGTCCTCTGGCAAAAGAGGCCTCAGGTGGCTCCTCAGAGTGTCTGTGGTTCTCTGTCCCAGGCTGTTCCCTAAGAAGGTCTGCCCAGGACTCAGGTAATCATATGCTCATTAGAAACTCTTGGGCACTGCCTGTGTGCCCAGCCCAGCCCATTATGTCGGTGAGGACAGACGTGGAGGACAGCAGTCCCTGCCCTTGGTTGGGGCTCCAGGCCAGCAAGGGCCACAGCCCCAGAAGGCAGAGCAGGAAGACAGGACTCGGGGCAGGTGAAGCAGCCTTCTCGTTGGCAGAAGGGAAACAGAAGCCCGGGGTGGGGAAGGGTGGGGAAGGGTGGGGAAGGGTGGGCCCGGGGTCACACGGGGTAATGGCAGAGCAAGGACTAGGGTCAGGGTCTCTGGCTCTCAGCTGCCCATGCCACCTCCTCCTTCTCTGCCCGCCCCAGTGCCTTATGGGTCCAAGGTTGACTCCTGTCCCTAGGGCAGGCCTGTGGGCCCTGCCTGATCCCTACTGGGAGGATGGTACCTAGGGTTGGAGCCAAACAAGTGTCCTCCTCCAGCGCCAGCCTGGCCCTGAGTGCGAACTCGTCACTGGTCAGGGGTCTGTACAGCAGCGTCCCTGAGGGCCCAGAGAGGTAGCCAGTCCTGTGGTGAGGTGACGAGGCTGAGGGCGGTGGCTCAGTCCTGGGCTTCCATGGGGCCTTCCCAGGGAACGTTCTGGCACCTGCCGACTGAGCCCTGGGAGGTAGGTAGCCCTGGCCTATAGCTCCCTGACGCCATGATTTGTCTTCCGTTTTGGGGTGTCATATATGAAGGGAGGTGACTGTTGTGATGGTGCTGGCAGGACTGCTGTCCCTGATGTGGGGTGGGCTGAGTTAGGCCTGAAATATGGGCCTCCAGGCTGAGTCCTGCCCTCTCCACCACATCCAGGGCTGACTGACACCTCTAGTCAGCCCATTCTGGCCCCTTCCCCACATGCCAGGACAATGTAGTCCTTGTCACCAATCTGGGCAGTCAGAGTTGGGTCAGTGGGGGACATGGGATTATGGGCAAGGGTAACTGACATCTGCTCAGCCTCAACATACCCCTGTCTCAAATGCGGCCAGGCGGTGGGGTAAGCAGGAATGAGGCAGGGGTGGGGTTGCCCTGAGGAGGATGATCCCAACGAGGGCGTGAGCAGGGGACCCGAGTTGGAACTACCACATTGCTTTATTGTACATTAGAGCCTCTGGCTAGGGAGCAGGCTGGGGACTAGGTACCCCATTCTAGCGGGGCACAGCACAAAGCTCATAGGGGGATGGGGTCACCAGGAAAGCAAAGACACCATGGTGGCTGGGCCGGGGCTGTCCAGTGGGCACCGAGAAGCTGAAGTGCTGCAGCAGGGAGGTGAAGAAGAGGAAGAGCTCCATGCGGGCCAGGGGCTCCCCGAGGCATGCACGGCGGCCTGTGGGGAGGGGAGGGGCGTCAGTGAGCCTGGCTCCTGGGTGATACCCCTGCAAGACTCCACGGAAGGGGACAGGGAGCCGGGCTCCCCACAGGCACCTGCTGAGAAAGGCAGGAAGGCCTCCGGCTTCACAAAGTGGCCCTGGGCATCCAGGAAGTGTTCGGGGTGGAAGCGGAAGGGCTTCTCCCAGACGGCCTCATCCTTCAGCACCGATGACAGGTTGGTGATGAGTGTCGTTCCCTGGGCAGGAGATGCAGGGTGAGAGTGGGGACTGGACTCTAGGATGCTGGGACCCCTGCCACCAAACACACGGGGGACACACACTGCCTGGCACACAGCTGGACTCTGTCAACTAGTCCTGCGCCCGAGAAGCTCCACAGTACCCTCTCCGACCCCACAGCAGGGCGCAGTCACACCTCTCAGAGGCACCCACACTGCCCCCTCTCCCTGCAGGCGCTGGGTCCTCCAACATTCTGGCAGGTCCTGGTTTGTCTCCCCACTAGACGGGGGCTCTGGATGGACAGGCCAGCCCTGCCTATACTCTGGACCCCCCACCCAAGTGGGGACAGTCAGTGTGGTGGCATTGAGGACTAGGTGGCCAGGGTTCCTAGAGTGGGCCCACCTGGCAGTAGCCATGCTGGGGCTATCACCAGGGGCTGGTGCTGAGCTGGGGTGAGGAGGGCGCCAGGCCTACCTTAGGGATGCGGAAGCCCTGTACTTCGATGTCACGGGATGTCATATGGGTCACACCCAGGGGGACGATGTCCCCAAAGCGCTGCACCTCATGAATCACGGCAGTGGTGTAGGGCATGTGAGCCTGGTCACCCATCTCTGGTCGCCGCACCTGCCCTATCACGTCGTCGATCTCCTGTTGGACACGGCCTGGACAGACATGCGTCCCCACAATGGGTCAGCACCCAGGGGGTCCGGCCCTGACACTCCTTCTTGCCTCCTATGTTGGAGGAGGTCAGGCTTACAGGATCCTGGTCAAGCCTGTGCTTGGAGCCCCGGGTGTCCCAGCAAAGTTCATGGGCCCCCGCCTGTACCCTTCCTCCCTCGGCCCCTGCACTGTTTCCCAGATGGGCTCACGCTGCACATCCGGATGTAGGATCATGAGCAGGAGGCCCCAGGCCAGCGTGGTCGAGGTGGTCACCATCCCGGCAGAGAACAGGTCAGCCACCACTATGCGCAGGTTCTCATCATTGAAGCTGCTCTCAGGGTTCCCCTTGGCCTGAGCAGGGCCGAGAGCATACTCGGGACAGAACGGGGTAGCCCCCAAATGACCTCCAATTCTGCACCTGTCAGCCCAGATGCGGCTCGCCGGGTGATGCACTGGTCCAACCTTTTGCCCAGCCTCCCCTCATTCCTCCTGGGACGCTCAACCCACCACCCTTGCCCCCCACCGTGGCAGCCACTCTCACCTTCTCCATCTCTGCCAGGAAGGCCTCAGTCAGGTCTCGGGGGGGCTGGGCTGGGTCCCAGGTCATCCTGTGCTCAGTTAGCAGCTCATCCAGCTGGGTCAGGAAAGCCTTTTGGAAGCGTAGGACCTTGCCAGCCAGCGCTGGGATATGCAGGAGGACGGGGACAGCATTCAGCACCTACACCAGACAGAACGGGGTCTCAATCCCTCCTGTGCTCTGCGTTCACCTGGACAAGTCTCAGGCCCCAGCCATCTCCAGGTAGACCCAGGGCCTGCCTGTCCTTACCACTGACCTCACCAAGTCCCTCCCCAAGTGCCAGCCTCCACCCTCTCTCCTTGCCCAGAGGAGAAACCTAAAATCGAAATCTCTGACGTGGATAGGAGGTACAGAGTCCTTGGCCTCTCCTGGTGCCCCCTGACCCGGGCACACCTCTCCCACGACCATGTCTGAGATGTCCCCTCCTCCTCCAGGCCCTTCTTACAGTGGGGTCTCCTGGAATGTCCTTTCCCAAACCCATCTACGCAAATCCTGCTCTTCCGAGGCCCCAGTCCAGCCCCGGCACCTCTCGGGAGCTCGCCCTGCAGAGACTCCTCGGTCTCTCGCTCCGCACCTCGCGCAGAAAGCCCGACTCCTCCTTCAGTCCCTCCTGAGCTAGGTCCAGCAGCCTGAGGAAGCGAGGGTCGTCGTACTCGAAGCGGCGCCCGCAGGTGAGGGAGGCGATCACGTTGCTCACGGCTTTGTCCAAGAGACCGTTGGGGCGAAAGGGGCGTCTTGGGGGTGGGAGATGCGGGTAAGGGGTCGCCTTCCCCGTCCCCCGCCTTCCCAGTTCCCGCTTTGTGCCCTTCTGCCCATCACCCACCGGAGTGGTTGGCGAAGGCGGCACAAAGGCAGGCGGCCTCCTCGGTCACCCACTGCTCCAGCGACTTCTTGCCCAGGCCCAAGTTGCGCAAGGTGGAGACGGAGAAGCGCCTCTGCTCGCGCCACGCGGGCCCATAGCGCGCCAGGAACACCCCTGGGGGTGGGACGGGCACGTGCGCGTGGCCATGAAGGCATTAGCCCCACCATCCACCACCCACTCCAACCCTATGCTCCCCCTGGTCTCCCGCAGTCCCTGGCTCTGTCCAGCTGGTCACAGGGCCCACTCTTTGTGCATCCACCTTGCTCCCTTGGCTGGGGCAGGGCTTTGCCCCACCTCGTCTCTGCCCACCCTGACCGCCTTTGCACTCAGGGAAGACCCCGCGGGCCCCGCGCCACCCACACTGAGCTTACAGCACAGGTGCGGTCCCCGCCCCCCACTTCGACACCGGATTCCAGCTGGGAAATGCGCCAGCCTCACCCATTGGGCTCCTGCCAGGTCTCGGCAGTGGCCCCGCCCACTCGTCACAAGCCCCGCCCTCGTCCCCATGCTCACACCTCCCTAGTGCAGGTGGTTTCTTGGCCCGCTGTCCCCACTCGCTGGCCTGTTTCATGTCCACGACCCCGCGCCCTCTCTGCCCAGCTCGGACTACGGTCATCACCCACCCGGGTCCCACGGAAATCTGTCTCTGTCCCCACCGCTGCTTGCCTTGGGAACGCGGCCCAAAACCCAGGATCTGGGTGATGGGCACAGGCGGGCGGTCGGCGGTGTCCTCGCCGTGGGTCACCAGCGCCTCGCGCACGGCCGCCAGCCCATTGAGCACGACCACCGGCGTCCAGGCCAGCTGCAGGCTGAACACGTCCCCGAAGCGGCGCCGCAACTGCAGAGGGAGGGTCAGGGCCTCTTGTCAAGCCAGGATCCCCCCAGACTACAGGTCCTAGTCCTATTTGAACCTTGGACGACCCCCGGGGCTACCAGGAGTGAGCAGGTGGAAGGAGGAGACCCAGCCTCCTGATCGTGGGGCGGGGGTGGGGGTCACACCTTCTGTGATGGAGGAACTCAGTTTGGATGCGTCACCCAGGTATGACCTTGCAAGAGTCACCAAAATTGCCGAGAGGCCCCAGTTAGCATCCCATTCCCAGATGATGGTCCATGCCGGTGAGCAGTGAGGCCCGAGGACCCACAGTGCAAAAGGTTTGAACCGGGTCACTGCACCCCCTTCATCCTCGATTTCGTGATTTAAACGGCACTCAGGACTAACTCATCTTCCATTCCCAAGGCCTTTCCTTCTGGTGTCAGCAGAAGGGACTTTGTACTCCATAACATATGTTGCCCAATGGGCTTGCATGCCCACTGCCAAGTCCAGCTCCACCTCCAGGCCCTTGCCCTACTCTTCCTTGGCCTTTGGAAAATCCAGTCCTTCATGCCATGTATAAATGCCCTTCTCCAGGAAGTCCCCCAAACCTGCTTCCCCTTCTCAGCCTGGCTTCTGGTCCAGCCTGTGGTTTCACCCACCATCCATGTTTGCTTCTGGTAGGGGAGCCTCAGCACCTCTGCCGCCCTCCAGGACCTCCTCCCTCACCTGGTCGAAGCAGTATGGTGTGTTCTGGAAGTCCACATGCAGCAGGTTGCCCAGCCCGGGCAGTGGCAGGGGGCCTGGTGAGTAGCGTGCAGCCCAGCGTTGGCGCCGGTGCATCAGGTCCACCAGGAGCAGGAAGATGGCCACTATCACGGCCAGGGGCACCAGTGCTTCTAGCCCCATACCTGCCTCACTACCAAATGGGCTCCTCTGGACACACCTGGCACCCCCACCCCACCAGGCACAGAGGACCAGGCAGGACACTCTCAGCACACCGAGCGCGTGACCCTTCCCTTATAAAGGGAGCTGATGATGGCCTTTGCCCTCTGCTGTGAGTGAACCTGCTGTGTTGACTGTGCTGCCAGTGGCAGAGTCAGGCCAGGGCGGGTATGGGCTGCTCCAGAGGTTCTTGCCCCTGCTTCCTGCTCCAGGCCCTTACCCAGGGTAGGCCGGTGGAGGGGCCTGGTCGGAGAAGTCACCCCCTCTCCCCACTCCAAGCTCCTGAAGCCTGCAAAGCCTTCTGGGATAACCAGGGTTTCAGTGGACCCGGCCATCCACCTCCCAGCTAGGCTCATACACCCTAATGTAGTCACAACCCCTCCTCCAGAACATGGCCTTGCCCTTTCCCTACCCCCACCTGCCCACTCCAGAGTGACCTTCAGCACCCTTATCTGTCACTGGCACTTACCTGGGGCCTTAGAGCTCCTGATGATGAGTGGCATCATGGGCCTGGTCCCTTCACTTCACCTTGCACTCTTGACATGCACAGACGCTATGCACACACCTGATGGTGCACAGATCTCTTGTCCACTCCCAGACACTTGTCCACTTGTTCACACTTGCAGGGACACGATTACACACGCAGAAAATCACCCACACAAAGACAATATTCACACATACACAGACTCACACTGACACTTAGGGCACACATTCTCTCTCACACACACCAGTCACACACACATACAGACCCGGCACCAAGTACCCCACTTCCCAGCCATGCCGGAGGTTTCCTGGATGGGACCACTCCTGTCCAGAGGCTGCTCCCAGCCCAGCCCACATTCCTGGGCTCTGGCCGGGCTATGGCTTCTTGTTTGCAACAGGGCTGTTCCCAGAGCTCCCAGTTGGTAGCCGGAAGGCCCTTGCCCCAGCCTGTGACAACATCCTCCCGGGCTGCCTGAGGGTTGTCCTCCTCCACTGCTTTCTGGCCTCCATGTTTCTGATTAGAAATCTGGTGGGAACGTTATGGAGGATCCTTTGTTCAGGATATGTTGCTTTATTTTTTTTTTCTTTAGACAGGGTCTCACTCTGTTGCCCAGGCCGGAGTGCAGTGGCAGGATCATGGCTCACTGCAGTCTCGACATCAAGTGGACCCCCTGCCTCCCAAGTAGCTGGGACTACAGGCACCACCCAGCCTAATCCTTTTTTTTTTTTTTTTTTTTTTTTTGGAGACGGAGATTTCCTCTTGTTGCCCAGGCTGGTGGCTCCCCTCCATTGTGCAATGATGCAATCTCGGCTCACTACAACCTTCACCTCTAGGCTTCAAGCAATTCTCCTGCCTCAGCCTCCTAAGTAGCTGGGATTACAGGTGTGTGCCACCACGTCTAGCTTTTTATATTTTCAGTAGAGATAGGGTTTCACCATGTTGGCCAGGCTAGTCTTGAACTCCTGACTTCAGGTGATCCACCCACCTCAGGCTCCCAAAGTGCTGGGATTATAGGCATGAGCCACCGCACCCAATCCCAGCTAATTTTGTATTTTTTGTAGAGACCGGGTTCTTCCAAGTTGTCCAGGCTGGTCTTGAATTCCTGGGGTGAAGCGATCCTCCCACCTGGGCCTCCCAAAGTGCTGGGATTACAGGCCTGAGCCACTGTGACTACCTGATACGTCTCTTCTCTCTTGCTGCTTTCAAAATCCTGTCTTTTGTGGGAGGGCAGCTGCCGAGCTCTGGACTTCTACGGGATCATCCACTGAGGACAGGAGGACCGGGCCCTCTACAGGTGGATTGTATGGCAGCTGCCATGCTTGGAGCCAGTGCTCACCGAGCACGTGGCGGCTGTGGAGCTGGACGCGGGGTTGATAAGTCCGCTGGGGGTGACGGGCTCATCCATGAGTGGTACTTGATGTGGCTGCAGAAGGCGGATGTGGTGGTGGCAGAAGTGACACAACTGTCCCTGGGTATAGGCTATGATCTGTGCCAGGCCACAGCCCTCAATAAGTGAATCCTGTGCCTGCTCCAGCAGCAGTCCGGTGGAGTGCTGTCGGCCATGATCTGGGAAGAGGCAGATGGCTCTGGGTTCCAGGTGTGGGACTACGGAGAGGGACAGGTGGAGGCCCTGCTGCATGGATAGGTTGAGGCTGATCCTTCCGAGCAGGTTGCCTCCCCTAACCCAACCATTGGACCTAATCCCATTTTATTAAATTCTTCTCATCCCAGACACTGCTCTAGTACCAGTCCTGGCTCTTTGCCCCAGGAGCAAATTAAAAGGTACATTTAAAATTCTAAAAAAAGAAAAATCTGTCTTTTGACAGTGATTATGATGATGCGTATGGCTGAAGATCTCTTTGAGTTTACCCTACTTGGAGTTTGATGAGCTTTTTGGATGTACGGATTAATATTTTTCATCAGATTTGGGAGGTTTTTCAGCCATTAATTCTTCAACTATTCCTTTACTCCTTTCTCCCTGTCTTCTTTCCTGGGACTCCCATTGTGTGTATGTCGGAAAGCTTGACGGCGTCTCCAGGTCTCTGGATCTCTGTGCATTGCTCTTCATGCTTGTTCCTGTTCCTCAGAGGGGACTACCTCAGGTGGCCTCTCTCCATAGTCACAGGCTCTTTCTTCCAATTGTTCCAATCTGCTCTTGGGCCCCTGGGATGAATTTTCATTTATTTTACCCTACAACTCCAGAATTTTTATTTGGTTCCTTTTTAAACTTTTTTTTTGTTTTTTGTTTTGTTTTGTTTTTTGGAGTATCGCTCTGTCACCCAGGCTGTAGTGCAGTGGTGCAATCTCGGCTCACTGCAATCTCTGCCTCTCGGGTTCAAGCGATTCTCCTGCCTCAGCCTCCCGAGTAGCTGGGATTACAGGCACGTGCCACCACGCCCGGCTAATTTTTGTATTTTAAGTAGAGACGGGGTTTCACCATGTTGGCCAGGCTGGTCTCAATCTCTTGACCTCATGATATGCCCGCCTCAGCCTCCCAAAGTGCTGGGATTATAGGCATGAGCCACCATGCCCAGCCCCTTTTTATAAGGTTCATCCCATTATTGATATTCTCTAATTGGTGAGACATTGTTCCCACACTTTCGTTAGTTCTTTTGACATGGTTCTTTTCTTTTTCTTGGGAGAGGGTCTCTCTGTCGCCCAAGCTGGAGTGCAGTGATGCAGTCATGGCTCACTGCAGCCTCAACTTCCTGGGCTGAAGTGATCCTCCTACCTCAGCATCCTGAGAGGCTGGGACCATAGGCAGCCAGCTAATTTTTTAAATTTTTTGTAGAGATGGGGGTCTCACCACATTTCCCAAGCTGCTCTCAAACTCCTGGGCTCAAGCAATCCACGGGCCTCAGCTTCCCAGAGTGCTAGGATTATAGGTGTGAGCCACTGCACCAGGCCTACACGTGGTTTCTCCCTTTGAAGTACTAGCCAGGCCTGACCATGCTTAGCTTCCGAGATCAGCAGGTTCCAGCCGGTGCAGCCTCAGATGCAGCATGTTTTAGGTCTTTGAACATATTTAAATGAGCTGACTGAACGTCTTTGTCTAGCAATTGCAGCATCGGGCTGGTCCCATTGGTGACTTTTCCCGTGTCTGGGTCGTCCTTTCGGTTTCCTTTCCATGTCTCATAATTTGTTAAAACCTGGACATTTCACGGGCGATAATGTGGCAACTCCGGAAGTCAGATTCTCTTCCCTGCCAAGGATGTGTTGTTGTTGTTGCCTGTTGGAGCTGTTTCTTTGCTGGGTGACTTTTCTGAACTAATTCTGACTAAGCATTAATGTCTCCATTCCCTGCGAGCTGTGGCCACTGAAGCCGCTCTTCAGTTACGGCAGTGGTCAGCTAATGACTGGTCAGAGAGTTCCTTAGGTGCCTGGAAGCGAAGTCTTTGCCGAGTGGGTCTCTCTCTGTGTGCCGGGCGTGGCTTCAGTGCTCGGCTAGGCAGTGCTCAACTTTCCCTTAGCCGTCACCTGCTGTCTGCACAGCACCTCAGGTCAGTCACGGGTGAGGGCT
Organism: Homo sapiens; assembly: GCF_000001405.40. Classification (NCBI taxonomy): domain Eukaryota; kingdom Metazoa; phylum Chordata; class Mammalia; order Primates; family Hominidae; genus Homo; species Homo sapiens. The sequence continues at coordinate 57,159 of NW_004504305.1, forward strand.
CAGGGCCTTGCCGGCCTTCCTGAATATGGGCACAGCTGCAGACAGCCTTACCCACGTGCAGGGCACCTAGATTCCCAAGAAGGGGCAAGAGCTGTTCAAAACCACTACAAGCTGGACATGGTGGCTCACACCTGTAGTGTCAGTGACTCAGAAGGCTGTAATGGGAGGATGACTTGAGGCCAGGAGTTTGAGACCTAGCAAGACCCCATCCCCCACCCAAAAAAACAAAAACAACAACAAAAACTCACTGTGGACCGCTCATGCCCCAGCTGCTGCTTTTTAACCCCAGCTGTTATCCATCACCACAGGCAGCTTCGATTTTCAATCATGGATCTGATGACTTTCAACAAACTTTCCTGAGGAAAGTGCTGTTCCCACCAGAAGAGATCTCAGGACAAATGTAGACAGCCCTGGCAAGTGGGGTCTCCCTGGGAGCTAGCAGACAGGTGAAAGACTGACAGTTCTTGGGGAATTAGGCTTTTCTTTTGTTTTGGAGATGGCGTTTCATACTTATCACCCAGACTGGAGTGCAATGGTGTGATCTCGGCTCACTGCAACCTCTGCCTCCCAGGTTCAAGCAATTCTCCTGCCTCAGCCTCCTGAGTAGCTGGGATTACAGGCACCCACCACCACGCCCAGCTAATTTTTTGTATTTTTAGTAGAGACGGGGTTTCACCATGTTGGCCAGGCTGGTCTCGAACATCTGACCTCAGGTGATCCACCCATCTCGGCCTCCCAAAGTGCTGGGATTACAGGCGTGAGCCACCCTGCCCAGCCCAATTATAGATTTTTTAGGTTTAGGTGTTGACAGTAGCTCTCACCTCAGCCTGTTCTCTCTCCTTGTCATGCAGCCCACAGGGGAGATGGTCAGGCCAGTGTGGGGGCTAATGAATAAATGCTACACTGTGCCCACTCAGGTGGGTAAGGGCTGGCACTCCTCTTCCCCTGGAGTGGGGCGGCTGTGCTGGCACCCTTGGCAGACACAGTAAGGGGGACTGCACCTGGAAAGGATGGGCCAGTCGGGGCAGGACTACTCATCACTCATAGTGTGGGTGTCAGGGTTGTGTCACCCCTCCCACCTCCCTCTGCAGAGACGCAAAGTCAAGAGTAGGAAGAAGCCAACCTCTGAGGTAAGGCTTCCCCTGGAAGGCCCAGGGCTGGGGCTCTCTCCTTTCAGAGCTCAGTTAGACCCAGACACACGGCAGGGAGTCCCAAGGGTAGTGGCAGGCCCCCTCCAGGAAACTCACAAGGTTACCACAGCTCAACTGAAAAGGAAGAACTTCCCAGGACTGTGACACCCCAGTGTGAGAACAGGAGGATGAGGTGCTCTGAAGGCCTTTCTGCCCAGTCTGCCCTCTTATTCCTCCTGCAGGTCACGACCCCCAGGAGACCTGGAGGACTGAATGCTGCTGCCCCCAAGGAGGAGGCTGCCGTCTTATCCCAGGAGGGAGAGCAGGTGAAGTCCCCAGGGGAGGAAGCACCTAGCCCCATTCCTGCTGAGCAGGAGGTGGCAGGTACCCCAGACTGGGAGGTAAGGACAGCCCGGGGCTTCGACTGAACGTCTCCAGCGTGGGTCCAACTGAGCAGCCATGGAGCACTGCAGAGTGGGAGGCAGCAGGGCAGGGAGGCAGTGCTGGAGGCTGGCTCAACCCCAAGACCAGCAGGCCAAGCTGCCATCCCAGGGGAGCGAGGACGTCTGTGCAGAGCTGAGAGGCAGCAGCCATGTGTGAACAGACTGGGCCTCATCCTGGCCCCACCGACTTTGTGTGGACAGAGCCTGTTTCCCTGTCTGTGCAACACAGAACCTGCCTGATCTCACTGCTGGATCCCTCTTCTTCCTGCCAGGAAAATAAAAAGGTTCAAAAGGAAGTTGCTGCGTATCCATCTGGTAAGACCATTGACCCAGCGTGCTGCAGGGGGCTGCTTCCACCCTGCTTCTCAGTGACTGCCAGGGTCACAGACACCCCAGCCCTTTCCCACCTTCCTGACCTGGGGAGGGGAGGGGAGGGAAGCAGCCCAGGAGTCAGGTGCCTTGACCTTCCTGGGAGCCTCCTTGGGTGGGCAGGAACTCTGGGCCACTCCCCTGAGCTGGCTGCATCCCTACCTTTCACCACAGCTGACCTGGCCCCGGGGCATCTCAGAGGGAGGGTTGGTTGCTCCCAGGAGGGGACTCACAAGGCTGCCTGTTTCTACTTTGCAGAGGCCTCTGAGGACAGCAAAGAGCAAAGGCCCTGGGACCGGGTCTACGTGCCCATGACAGAGCTCTGGCTGGACTGGTTCTGAGCCTCTAACACCCCCAAGACTCAGAACCGTGAAGAAAATCTTTCCAATAAATCCAAGAGTTGCTGCTGCTATAGGCCAGGCTGCCACCTTTCGGGGCCTCCGTCTTCAGACAAACCCAGCCTGGCTTCATCCACACTCCCTGTCCCCACAGCTGCAGGAACAGCACTTCCTGCCACCGAGCCGTGTGACCACAGTGGATTGTCTCTGGAGGGGCCCAAGGGGGCCCTGGCCACCCTTCTGACTGACTCGGTGCCAGGGGACAGACCAACGTCCCTCTCGTGCTGACAGCCGGGCCGCACCCTGGCATGAGGGCATTTACAGAAATGCTGGCGGAACTGCTGCCAGGGAGGCTGTAGGGTCCTCTGGCAAAAGAGGCCTCAGGTGGCTCCTCAGAGTGTCTGTGGTTCTCTGTCCCAGGCTGTTCCCTAAGAAGGTCTGCCCAGGACTCAGGTAATCATATGCTCATTAGAAACTCTTGGGCACTGCCTGTGTGCCCAGCCCAGCCCATTATGTCGGTGAGGACAGACGTGGAGGACAGCAGTCCCTGCCCTTGGTTGGGGCTCCAGGCCAGCAAGGGCCACAGCCCCAGAAGGCAGAGCAGGAAGACAGGACTCGGGGCAGGTGAAGCAGCCTTCTCGTTGGCAGAAGGGAAACAGAAGCCCGGGGTGGGGAAGGGTGGGGAAGGGTGGGGAAGGGTGGGCCCGGGGTCACACGGGGTAATGGCAGAGCAAGGACTAGGGTCAGGGTCTCTGGCTCTCAGCTGCCCATGCCACCTCCTCCTTCTCTGCCCGCCCCAGTGCCTTATGGGTCCAAGGTTGACTCCTGTCCCTAGGGCAGGCCTGTGGGCCCTGCCTGATCCCTACTGGGAGGATGGTACCTAGGGTTGGAGCCAAACAAGTGTCCTCCTCCAGCGCCAGCCTGGCCCTGAGTGCGAACTCGTCACTGGTCAGGGGTCTGTACAGCAGCGTCCCTGAGGGCCCAGAGAGGTAGCCAGTCCTGTGGTGAGGTGACGAGGCTGAGGGCGGTGGCTCAGTCCTGGGCTTCCATGGGGCCTTCCCAGGGAACGTTCTGGCACCTGCCGACTGAGCCCTGGGAGGTAGGTAGCCCTGGCCTATAGCTCCCTGACGCCATGATTTGTCTTCCGTTTTGGGGTGTCATATATGAAGGGAGGTGACTGTTGTGATGGTGCTGGCAGGACTGCTGTCCCTGATGTGGGGTGGGCTGAGTTAGGCCTGAAATATGGGCCTCCAGGCTGAGTCCTGCCCTCTCCACCACATCCAGGGCTGACTGACACCTCTAGTCAGCCCATTCTGGCCCCTTCCCCACATGCCAGGACAATGTAGTCCTTGTCACCAATCTGGGCAGTCAGAGTTGGGTCAGTGGGGGACATGGGATTATGGGCAAGGGTAACTGACATCTGCTCAGCCTCAACATACCCCTGTCTCAAATGCGGCCAGGCGGTGGGGTAAGCAGGAATGAGGCAGGGGTGGGGTTGCCCTGAGGAGGATGATCCCAACGAGGGCGTGAGCAGGGGACCCGAGTTGGAACTACCACATTGCTTTATTGTACATTAGAGCCTCTGGCTAGGGAGCAGGCTGGGGACTAGGTACCCCATTCTAGCGGGGCACAGCACAAAGCTCATAGGGGGATGGGGTCACCAGGAAAGCAAAGACACCATGGTGGCTGGGCCGGGGCTGTCCAGTGGGCACCGAGAAGCTGAAGTGCTGCAGCAGGGAGGTGAAGAAGAGGAAGAGCTCCATGCGGGCCAGGGGCTCCCCGAGGCATGCACGGCGGCCTGTGGGGAGGGGAGGGGCGTCAGTGAGCCTGGCTCCTGGGTGATACCCCTGCAAGACTCCACGGAAGGGGACAGGGAGCCGGGCTCCCCACAGGCACCTGCTGAGAAAGGCAGGAAGGCCTCCGGCTTCACAAAGTGGCCCTGGGCATCCAGGAAGTGTTCGGGGTGGAAGCGGAAGGGCTTCTCCCAGACGGCCTCATCCTTCAGCACCGATGACAGGTTGGTGATGAGTGTCGTTCCCTGGGCAGGAGATGCAGGGTGAGAGTGGGGACTGGACTCTAGGATGCTGGGACCCCTGCCACCAAACACACGGGGGACACACACTGCCTGGCACACAGCTGGACTCTGTCAACTAGTCCTGCGCCCGAGAAGCTCCACAGTACCCTCTCCGACCCCACAGCAGGGCGCAGTCACACCTCTCAGAGGCACCCACACTGCCCCCTCTCCCTGCAGGCGCTGGGTCCTCCAACATTCTGGCAGGTCCTGGTTTGTCTCCCCACTAGACGGGGGCTCTGGATGGACAGGCCAGCCCTGCCTATACTCTGGACCCCCCACCCAAGTGGGGACAGTCAGTGTGGTGGCATTGAGGACTAGGTGGCCAGGGTTCCTAGAGTGGGCCCACCTGGCAGTAGCCATGCTGGGGCTATCACCAGGGGCTGGTGCTGAGCTGGGGTGAGGAGGGCGCCAGGCCTACCTTAGGGATGCGGAAGCCCTGTACTTCGATGTCACGGGATGTCATATGGGTCACACCCAGGGGGACGATGTCCCCAAAGCGCTGCACCTCATGAATCACGGCAGTGGTGTAGGGCATGTGAGCCTGGTCACCCATCTCTGGTCGCCGCACCTGCCCTATCACGTCGTCGATCTCCTGTTGGACACGGCCTGGACAGACATGCGTCCCCACAATGGGTCAGCACCCAGGGGGTCCGGCCCTGACACTCCTTCTTGCCTCCTATGTTGGAGGAGGTCAGGCTTACAGGATCCTGGTCAAGCCTGTGCTTGGAGCCCCGGGTGTCCCAGCAAAGTTCATGGGCCCCCGCCTGTACCCTTCCTCCCTCGGCCCCTGCACTGTTTCCCAGATGGGCTCACGCTGCACATCCGGATGTAGGATCATGAGCAGGAGGCCCCAGGCCAGCGTGGTCGAGGTGGTCACCATCCCGGCAGAGAACAGGTCAGCCACCACTATGCGCAGGTTCTCATCATTGAAGCTGCTCTCAGGGTTCCCCTTGGCCTGAGCAGGGCCGAGAGCATACTCGGGACAGAACGGGGTAGCCCCCAAATGACCTCCAATTCTGCACCTGTCAGCCCAGATGCGGCTCGCCGGGTGATGCACTGGTCCAACCTTTTGCCCAGCCTCCCCTCATTCCTCCTGGGACGCTCAACCCACCACCCTTGCCCCCCACCGTGGCAGCCACTCTCACCTTCTCCATCTCTGCCAGGAAGGCCTCAGTCAGGTCTCGGGGGGGCTGGGCTGGGTCCCAGGTCATCCTGTGCTCAGTTAGCAGCTCATCCAGCTGGGTCAGGAAAGCCTTTTGGAAGCGTAGGACCTTGCCAGCCAGCGCTGGGATATGCAGGAGGACGGGGACAGCATTCAGCACCTACACCAGACAGAACGGGGTCTCAATCCCTCCTGTGCTCTGCGTTCACCTGGACAAGTCTCAGGCCCCAGCCATCTCCAGGTAGACCCAGGGCCTGCCTGTCCTTACCACTGACCTCACCAAGTCCCTCCCCAAGTGCCAGCCTCCACCCTCTCTCCTTGCCCAGAGGAGAAACCTAAAATCGAAATCTCTGACGTGGATAGGAGGTACAGAGTCCTTGGCCTCTCCTGGTGCCCCCTGACCCGGGCACACCTCTCCCACGACCATGTCTGAGATGTCCCCTCCTCCTCCAGGCCCTTCTTACAGTGGGGTCTCCTGGAATGTCCTTTCCCAAACCCATCTACGCAAATCCTGCTCTTCCGAGGCCCCAGTCCAGCCCCGGCACCTCTCGGGAGCTCGCCCTGCAGAGACTCCTCGGTCTCTCGCTCCGCACCTCGCGCAGAAAGCCCGACTCCTCCTTCAGTCCCTCCTGAGCTAGGTCCAGCAGCCTGAGGAAGCGAGGGTCGTCGTACTCGAAGCGGCGCCCGCAGGTGAGGGAGGCGATCACGTTGCTCACGGCTTTGTCCAAGAGACCGTTGGGGCGAAAGGGGCGTCTTGGGGGTGGGAGATGCGGGTAAGGGGTCGCCTTCCCCGTCCCCCGCCTTCCCAGTTCCCGCTTTGTGCCCTTCTGCCCATCACCCACCGGAGTGGTTGGCGAAGGCGGCACAAAGGCAGGCGGCCTCCTCGGTCACCCACTGCTCCAGCGACTTCTTGCCCAGGCCCAAGTTGCGCAAGGTGGAGACGGAGAAGCGCCTCTGCTCGCGCCACGCGGGCCCATAGCGCGCCAGGAACACCCCTGGGGGTGGGACGGGCACGTGCGCGTGGCCATGAAGGCATTAGCCCCACCATCCACCACCCACTCCAACCCTATGCTCCCCCTGGTCTCCCGCAGTCCCTGGCTCTGTCCAGCTGGTCACAGGGCCCACTCTTTGTGCATCCACCTTGCTCCCTTGGCTGGGGCAGGGCTTTGCCCCACCTCGTCTCTGCCCACCCTGACCGCCTTTGCACTCAGGGAAGACCCCGCGGGCCCCGCGCCACCCACACTGAGCTTACAGCACAGGTGCGGTCCCCGCCCCCCACTTCGACACCGGATTCCAGCTGGGAAATGCGCCAGCCTCACCCATTGGGCTCCTGCCAGGTCTCGGCAGTGGCCCCGCCCACTCGTCACAAGCCCCGCCCTCGTCCCCATGCTCACACCTCCCTAGTGCAGGTGGTTTCTTGGCCCGCTGTCCCCACTCGCTGGCCTGTTTCATGTCCACGACCCCGCGCCCTCTCTGCCCAGCTCGGACTACGGTCATCACCCACCCGGGTCCCACGGAAATCTGTCTCTGTCCCCACCGCTGCTTGCCTTGGGAACGCGGCCCAAAACCCAGGATCTGGGTGATGGGCACAGGCGGGCGGTCGGCGGTGTCCTCGCCGTGGGTCACCAGCGCCTCGCGCACGGCCGCCAGCCCATTGAGCACGACCACCGGCGTCCAGGCCAGCTGCAGGCTGAACACGTCCCCGAAGCGGCGCCGCAACTGCAGAGGGAGGGTCAGGGCCTCTTGTCAAGCCAGGATCCCCCCAGACTACAGGTCCTAGTCCTATTTGAACCTTGGACGACCCCCGGGGCTACCAGGAGTGAGCAGGTGGAAGGAGGAGACCCAGCCTCCTGATCGTGGGGCGGGGGTGGGGGTCACACCTTCTGTGATGGAGGAACTCAGTTTGGATGCGTCACCCAGGTATGACCTTGCAAGAGTCACCAAAATTGCCGAGAGGCCCCAGTTAGCATCCCATTCCCAGATGATGGTCCATGCCGGTGAGCAGTGAGGCCCGAGGACCCACAGTGCAAAAGGTTTGAACCGGGTCACTGCACCCCCTTCATCCTCGATTTCGTGATTTAAACGGCACTCAGGACTAACTCATCTTCCATTCCCAAGGCCTTTCCTTCTGGTGTCAGCAGAAGGGACTTTGTACTCCATAACATATGTTGCCCAATGGGCTTGCATGCCCACTGCCAAGTCCAGCTCCACCTCCAGGCCCTTGCCCTACTCTTCCTTGGCCTTTGGAAAATCCAGTCCTTCATGCCATGTATAAATGCCCTTCTCCAGGAAGTCCCCCAAACCTGCTTCCCCTTCTCAGCCTGGCTTCTGGTCCAGCCTGTGGTTTCACCCACCATCCATGTTTGCTTCTGGTAGGGGAGCCTCAGCACCTCTGCCGCCCTCCAGGACCTCCTCCCTCACCTGGTCGAAGCAGTATGGTGTGTTCTGGAAGTCCACATGCAGCAGGTTGCCCAGCCCGGGCAGTGGCAGGGGGCCTGGTGAGTAGCGTGCAGCCCAGCGTTGGCGCCGGTGCATCAGGTCCACCAGGAGCAGGAAGATGGCCACTATCACGGCCAGGGGCACCAGTGCTTCTAGCCCCATACCTGCCTCACTACCAAATGGGCTCCTCTGGACACACCTGGCACCCCCACCCCACCAGGCACAGAGGACCAGGCAGGACACTCTCAGCACACCGAGCGCGTGACCCTTCCCTTATAAAGGGAGCTGATGATGGCCTTTGCCCTCTGCTGTGAGTGAACCTGCTGTGTTGACTGTGCTGCCAGTGGCAGAGTCAGGCCAGGGCGGGTATGGGCTGCTCCAGAGGTTCTTGCCCCTGCTTCCTGCTCCAGGCCCTTACCCAGGGTAGGCCGGTGGAGGGGCCTGGTCGGAGAAGTCACCCCCTCTCCCCACTCCAAGCTCCTGAAGCCTGCAAAGCCTTCTGGGATAACCAGGGTTTCAGTGGACCCGGCCATCCACCTCCCAGCTAGGCTCATACACCCTAATGTAGTCACAACCCCTCCTCCAGAACATGGCCTTGCCCTTTCCCTACCCCCACCTGCCCACTCCAGAGTGACCTTCAGCACCCTTATCTGTCACTGGCACTTACCTGGGGCCTTAGAGCTCCTGATGATGAGTGGCATCATGGGCCTGGTCCCTTCACTTCACCTTGCACTCTTGACATGCACAGACGCTATGCACACACCTGATGGTGCACAGATCTCTTGTCCACTCCCAGACACTTGTCCACTTGTTCACACTTGCAGGGACACGATTACACACGCAGAAAATCACCCACACAAAGACAATATTCACACATACACAGACTCACACTGACACTTAGGGCACACATTCTCTCTCACACACACCAGTCACACACACATACAGACCCGGCACCAAGTACCCCACTTCCCAGCCATGCCGGAGGTTTCCTGGATGGGACCACTCCTGTCCAGAGGCTGCTCCCAGCCCAGCCCACATTCCTGGGCTCTGGCCGGGCTATGGCTTCTTGTTTGCAACAGGGCTGTTCCCAGAGCTCCCAGTTGGTAGCCGGAAGGCCCTTGCCCCAGCCTGTGACAACATCCTCCCGGGCTGCCTGAGGGTTGTCCTCCTCCACTGCTTTCTGGCCTCCATGTTTCTGATTAGAAATCTGGTGGGAACGTTATGGAGGATCCTTTGTTCAGGATATGTTGCTTTATTTTTTTTTTCTTTAGACAGGGTCTCACTCTGTTGCCCAGGCCGGAGTGCAGTGGCAGGATCATGGCTCACTGCAGTCTCGACATCAAGTGGACCCCCTGCCTCCCAAGTAGCTGGGACTACAGGCACCACCCAGCCTAATCCTTTTTTTTTTTTTTTTTTTTTTTTGGAGACGGAGATTTCCTCTTGTTGCCCAGGCTGGTGGCTCCCCTCCATTGTGCAATGATGCAATCTCGGCTCACTACAACCTTCACCTCTAGGCTTCAAGCAATTCTCCTGCCTCAGCCTCCTAAGTAGCTGGGATTACAGGTGTGTGCCACCACGTCTAGCTTTTTATATTTTCAGTAGAGATAGGGTTTCACCATGTTGGCCAGGCTAGTCTTGAACTCCTGACTTCAGGTGATCCACCCACCTCAGGCTCCCAAAGTGCTGGGATTATAGGCATGAGCCACCGCACCCAATCCCAGCTAATTTTGTATTTTTTGTAGAGACCGGGTTCTTCCAAGTTGTCCAGGCTGGTCTTGAATTCCTGGGGTGAAGCGATCCTCCCACCTGGGCCTCCCAAAGTGCTGGGATTACAGGCCTGAGCCACTGTGACTACCTGATACGTCTCTTCTCTCTTGCTGCTTTCAAAATCCTGTCTTTTGTGGGAGGGCAGCTGCCGAGCTCTGGACTTCTACGGGATCATCCACTGAGGACAGGAGGACCGGGCCCTCTACAGGTGGATTGTATGGCAGCTGCCATGCTTGGAGCCAGTGCTCACCGAGCACGTGGCGGCTGTGGAGCTGGACGCGGGGTTGATAAGTCCGCTGGGGGTGACGGGCTCATCCATGAGTGGTACTTGATGTGGCTGCAGAAGGCGGATGTGGTGGTGGCAGAAGTGACACAACTGTCCCTGGGTATAGGCTATGATCTGTGCCAGGCCACAGCCCTCAATAAGTGAATCCTGTGCCTGCTCCAGCAGCAGTCCGGTGGAGTGCTGTCGGCCATGATCTGGGAAGAGGCAGATGGCTCTGGGTTCCAGGTGTGGGACTACGGAGAGGGACAGGTGGAGGCCCTGCTGCATGGATAGGTTGAGGCTGATCCTTCCGAGCAGGTTGCCTCCCCTAACCCAACCATTGGACCTAATCCCATTTTATTAAATTCTTCTCATCCCAGACACTGCTCTAGTACCAGTCCTGGCTCTTTGCCCCAGGAGCAAATTAAAAGGTACATTTAAAATTCTAAAAAAAGAAAAATCTGTCTTTTGACAGTGATTATGATGATGCGTATGGCTGAAGATCTCTTTGAGTTTACCCTACTTGGAGTTTGATGAGCTTTTTGGATGTACGGATTAATATTTTTCATCAGATTTGGGAGGTTTTTCAGCCATTAATTCTTCAACTATTCCTTTACTCCTTTCTCCCTGTCTTCTTTCCTGGGACTCCCATTGTGTGTATGTCGGAAAGCTTGACGGCGTCTCCAGGTCTCTGGATCTCTGTGCATTGCTCTTCATGCTTGTTCCTGTTCCTCAGAGGGGACTACCTCAGGTGGCCTCTCTCCATAGTCACAGGCTCTTTCTTCCAATTGTTCCAATCTGCTCTTGGGCCCCTGGGATGAATTTTCATTTATTTTACCCTACAACTCCAGAATTTTTATTTGGTTCCTTTTTAAACTTTTTTTTTGTTTTTTGTTTTGTTTTGTTTTTTGGAGTATCGCTCTGTCACCCAGGCTGTAGTGCAGTGGTGCAATCTCGGCTCACTGCAATCTCTGCCTCTCGGGTTCAAGCGATTCTCCTGCCTCAGCCTCCCGAGTAGCTGGGATTACAGGCACGTGCCACCACGCCCGGCTAATTTTTGTATTTTAAGTAGAGACGGGGTTTCACCATGTTGGCCAGGCTGGTCTCAATCTCTTGACCTCATGATATGCCCGCCTCAGCCTCCCAAAGTGCTGGGATTATAGGCATGAGCCACCATGCCCAGCCCCTTTTTATAAGGTTCATCCCATTATTGATATTCTCTAATTGGTGAGACATTGTTCCCACACTTTCGTTAGTTCTTTTGACATGGTTCTTTTCTTTTTCTTGGGAGAGGGTCTCTCTGTCGCCCAAGCTGGAGTGCAGTGATGCAGTCATGGCTCACTGCAGCCTCAACTTCCTGGGCTGAAGTGATCCTCCTACCTCAGCATCCTGAGAGGCTGGGACCATAGGCAGCCAGCTAATTTTTTAAATTTTTTGTAGAGATGGGGGTCTCACCACATTTCCCAAGCTGCTCTCAAACTCCTGGGCTCAAGCAATCCACGGGCCTCAGCTTCCCAGAGTGCTAGGATTATAGGTGTGAGCCACTGCACCAGGCCTACACGTGGTTTCTCCCTTTGAAGTACTAGCCAGGCCTGACCATGCTTAGCTTCCGAGATCAGCAGGTTCCAGCCGGTGCAGCCTCAGATGCAGCATGTTTTAGGTCTTTGAACATATTTAAATGAGCTGACTGAACGTCTTTGTCTAGCAATTGCAGCATCGGGCTGGTCCCATTGGTGACTTTTCCCGTGTCTGGGTCGTCCTTTCGGTTTCCTTTCCATGTCTCATAATTTGTTAAAACCTGGACATTTCACGGGCGATAATGTGGCAACTCCGGAAGTCAGATTCTCTTCCCTGCCAAGGATGTGTTGTTGTTGTTGCCTGTTGGAGCTGTTTCTTTGCTGGGTGACTTTTCTGAACTAATTCTGACTAAGCATTAATGTCTCCATTCCCTGCGAGCTGTGGCCACTGAAGCCGCTCTTCAGTTACGGCAGTGGTCAGCTAATGACTGGTCAGAGAGTTCCTTAGGTGCCTGGAAGCGAAGTCTTTGCCGAGTGGGTCTCTCTCTGTGTGCCGGGCGTGGCTTCAGTGCTCGGCTAGGCAGTGCTCAACTTTCCCTTAGCCGTCACCTGCTGTCTGCACAGCACCTCAGGTCAGTCACGGGTGAGGGCTCAGGGCCTTGCCGGCCTTCCTGAATATGGGCACAGCTGCAGACAGCCTTACCCACGTGCAGGGCACCTAGATTCCCAAGAAGGGGCAAGAGCTGTTCAAAACCACTACAAGCTGGACATGGTGGCTCACACCTGTAGTGTCAGTGACTCAGAAGGCTGTAATGGGAGGATGACTTGAGGCCAGGAGTTTGAGACCTAGCAAGACCCCATCCCCCACCCAAAAAAACAAAAACAACAACAAAAACTCACTGTGGACCGCTCATGCCCCAGCTGCTGCTTTTTAACCCCAGCTGTTATCCATCACCACAGGCAGCTTCGATTTTCAATCATGGATCTGATGACTTTCAACAAACTTTCCTGAGGAAAGTGCTGTTCCCACCAGAAGAGATCTCAGGACAAATGTAGACAGCCCTGGCAAGTGGGGTCTCCCTGGGAGCTAGCAGACAGGTGAAAGACTGACAGTTCTTGGGGAATTAGGCTTTTCTTTTGTTTTGGAGATGGCGTTTCATACTTATCACCCAGACTGGAGTGCAATGGTGTGATCTCGGCTCACTGCAACCTCTGCCTCCCAGGTTCAAGCAATTCTCCTGCCTCAGCCTCCTGAGTAGCTGGGATTACAGGCACCCACCACCACGCCCAGCTAATTTTTTGTATTTTTAGTAGAGACGGGGTTTCACCATGTTGGCCAGGCTGGTCTCGAACATCTGACCTCAGGTGATCCACCCATCTCGGCCTCCCAAAGTGCTGGGATTACAGGCGTGAGCCACCCTGCCCAGCCCAATTATAGATTTTTTAGGTTTAGGTGTTGACAGTAGCTCTCACCTCAGCCTGTTCTCTCTCCTTGTCATGCAGCCCACAGGGGAGATGGTCAGGCCAGTGTGGGGGCTAATGAATAAATGCTACACTGTGCCCACTCAGGTGGGTAAGGGCTGGCACTCCTCTTCCCCTGGAGTGGGGCGGCTGTGCTGGCACCCTTGGCAGACACAGTAAGGGGGACTGCACCTGGAAAGGATGGGCCAGTCGGGGCAGGACTACTCATCACTCATAGTGTGGGTGTCAGGGTTGTGTCACCCCTCCCACCTCCCTCTGCAGAGACGCAAAGTCAAGAGTAGGAAGAAGCCAACCTCTGAGGTAAGGCTTCCCCTGGAAGGCCCAGGGCTGGGGCTCTCTCCTTTCAGAGCTCAGTTAGACCCAGACACACGGCAGGGAGTCCCAAGGGTAGTGGCAGGCCCCCTCCAGGAAACTCACAAGGTTACCACAGCTCAACTGAAAAGGAAGAACTTCCCAGGACTGTGACACCCCAGTGTGAGAACAGGAGGATGAGGTGCTCTGAAGGCCTTTCTGCCCAGTCTGCCCTCTTATTCCTCCTGCAGGTCACGACCCCCAGGAGACCTGGAGGACTGAATGCTGCTGCCCCCAAGGAGGAGGCTGCCGTCTTATCCCAGGAGGGAGAGCAGGTGAAGTCCCCAGGGGAGGAAGCACCTAGCCCCATTCCTGCTGAGCAGGAGGTGGCAGGTACCCCAGACTGGGAGGTAAGGACAGCCCGGGGCTTCGACTGAACGTCTCCAGCGTGGGTCCAACTGAGCAGCCATGGAGCACTGCAGAGTGGGAGGCAGCAGGGCAGGGAGGCAGTGCTGGAGGCTGGCTCAACCCCAAGACCAGCAGGCCAAGCTGCCATCCCAGGGGAGCGAGGACGTCTGTGCAGAGCTGAGAGGCAGCAGCCATGTGTGAACAGACTGGGCCTCATCCTGGCCCCACCGACTTTGTGTGGACAGAGCCTGTTTCCCTGTCTGTGCAACACAGAACCTGCCTGATCTCACTGCTGGATCCCTCTTCTTCCTGCCAGGAAAATAAAAAGGTTCAAAAGGAAGTTGCTGCGTATCCATCTGGTAAGACCATTGACCCAGCGTGCTGCAGGGGGCTGCTTCCACCCTGCTTCTCAGTGACTGCCAGGGTCACAGACACCCCAGCCCTTTCCCACCTTCCTGACCTGGGGAGGGGAGGGGAGGGAAGCAGCCCAGGAGTCAGGTGCCTTGACCTTCCTGGGAGCCTCCTTGGGTGGGCAGGAACTCTGGGCCACTCCCCTGAGCTGGCTGCATCCCTACCTTTCACCACAGCTGACCTGGCCCCGGGGCATCTCAGAGGGAGGGTTGGTTGCTCCCAGGAGGGGACTCACAAGGCTGCCTGTTTCTACTTTGCAGAGGCCTCTGAGGACAGCAAAGAGCAAAGGCCCTGGGACCGGGTCTACGTGCCCATGACAGAGCTCTGGCTGGACTGGTTCTGAGCCTCTAACACCCCCAAGACTCAGAACCGTGAAGAAAATCTTTCCAATAAATCCAAGAGTTGCTGCTGCTATAGGCCAGGCTGCCACCTTTCGGGGCCTCCGTCTTCAGACAAACCCAGCCTGGCTTCATCCACACTCCCTGTCCCCACAGCTGCAGGAACAGCACTTCCTGCCACCGAGCCGTGTGACCACAGTGGATTGTCTCTGGAGGGGCCCAAGGGGGCCCTGGCCACCCTTCTGACTGACTCGGTGCCAGGGGACAGACCAACGTCCCTCTCGTGCTGACAGCCGGGCCGCACCCTGGCATGAGGGCATTTACAGAAATGCTGGCGGAACTGCTGCCAGGGAGGCTGTAGGGTCCTCTGGCAAAAGAGGCCTCAGGTGGCTCCTCAGAGTGTCTGTGGTTCTCTGTCCCAGGCTGTTCCCTAAGAAGGTCTGCCCAGGACTCAGGTAATCATATGCTCATTAGAAACTCTTGGGCACTGCCTGTGTGCCCAGCCCAGCCCATTATGTCGGTGAGGACAGATGTGGAGGACAGCAGTCCCTGCCCTTGGTTGGGGCTCCAGGCCAGCAAGGGCCACAGCCCCAGAAGGCAGAGCAGGAAGACAGGACTCGGGGCAGGTGAAGCAGCCTTCTCGTTGGCAGAAGGGAAACAGAAGCCCGGGGTGGGGAAGGGTGGGGAAGGGTGGGCCCGGGGTCACACGGGGTAATGGCAGAGCAAGGACTAGGGTCAGGGTCTCTGGCTCTCAGCTGCCCATGCCACCTCCTCCTTCTCTGCCCGCCCCAGTGCCTTATGGGTCCAAGGTTGACTCCTGTCCCTAGGGCAGGCCTGTGGGCCCTGCCTGATCCCTACTGGGAGGATGGTACCTAGGGTTGGAGCCAAACAAGTGTCCTCCTCCAGCGCCAGCCTGGCCCTGAGTGCGAACTCGTCACTGGTCAGGGGTCCAGACAGCAGCATCCCTGAGGGCCCAGAGAGGTGGCCAGTCCTGTGGTGAGGTTGAGAGGTGTCAACGTGCTGGCGGTCCTCGCTCGCTCTCAGCGCCTCCTCGGCCTCAGCTTCTGCTCTGACCACACTTGAGGAGCCCTTCAGCCCAGCGCTGCACTGTGGGAGCCCCTCTCTGGACTGGTGGAGGCTGGAGCCGGCTCCGTCTGCTTGCGGGGAGGTATGGAGGGAGAGGCGTGTGCGGGAACCTGGGTTGCTCGCGGGCCAGCACCAGTTCTGGGTGGGCAGGGGCTCAGCGGGCCCTGCACTCGGAGCGGCCGGCTGGTGCCTCTGGCCCCAGGCAGTGAGGGGCTTAGCACCTGGGCCAGCAGCTGCAGAGGGGGCACCGGGTCCCCCAGTACTGCTGGCCTGCCGGCGCTCACCACACTTGAATTGTCGCCAGGCCTCAGTCACCTCCCCGCGGGGCAGGGCTCAGGACTTGCAGCCTGCCATGCCCAAGCCTCCCTACGGTGGGCTCCCTGCGAGGCCCAAGCCTCCCGGATGGGTGCCTCCCACTGCTCCACGGCACCTGGTCCCGTCCACTGCCCAAGGGCTGAGGAGTACAGGTGCCTGGTGTGGGACTAGCAGGCAGCTCTGCCTGTGGCCCTGGCATAGGATCCACTAGGCGAAGCTGGCTGGGCTCCTGAGTCAGGTGGGGACTTGGAGAACTTTTATGTCTAGCCAGAGGATTGTATATGCACCAATCAGCACTCTGTGTCTAGCTCCGGGTTCGTGCATGCACCAATTAGCACTCTGTATCTAGCTAATCTGGTGGGGACTTGGGGAACCTTTATTTCTAGCTAAAAGATTGTAAATACACCAATCAGCACTCTGTGTCTAGCTCAGGGTTTGTAAACACACCAGTCAGCACCCTGTGTCTAACTCAAGGTTTGTAAACGCACCAATCAGTGCTCTCTGTCTACTCTATCTAGCTAATCTAGTGGGGACTGGGACAACCTTTATGTCTAGCTAAGGGATTGTAAATACACCATTCAGCACTCTGTGTCTAGCTCAAGGTTTGTAAATATACCAATCAGTACTCTGTGTCTAGCTCAGGGATTGTAAATGCACCAATCAGCTCTCTGTAAGTGGACCAATCCACTGTCTGTAAAATGGGCCAATCAGCAGGATGTGGGTGGGGGTCAGATAAGGGAATAAAAGCAGGCTGCCTGAAGTAGCAGCGGCAACCTGGTTGCCATCATTCTTTTGCTGTTTGCAGTAAGTCTTGCTGCTGCTGCTCCCTCATTGGGTCCACACTGCCTTTATGAGTTGTAACACTGGAAGGACTGCAGTTTCACTCCTGAGGCCAGTGAGACCACAAACCCACCAGGAAGAATGAACAACTCCGTACGTGCAGCCTTAAGAGCCGTAACACTCACTGTGAAGGTCTGCAGCTTCACTCCTGAAGCCAGCGAGACCACGCACCCACCAGAA